>NC_000021.9:44853232-45007128 GCF_000001405.40 Homo sapiens | reverse complement strand
ACAGCCCAGGGGCATTTGTTAAAAAGAAGAAGAAAAAAAAAACCAGGCAATTATTTAACATTGCAGGTGCCTGAGGCAGTGGATAACAGGTTGGGGGGGGAAATAGGCTAACAAAAATGTTTAACAGGAAAATCTGGGGGAATGAGACATCCATAGGGAGATCTGAAAAGCTCCTGCATACTCCTGGGAACCTCAAAGGCCATGCTCATGCCCAGGGCTGTACACGTGCTCATCTCCCACTAATCGTTAGGCAGGCAGTGAAGGCTGAGGCAGAGTTGACAGCTGCCTGGCTGAGTGTTGACGGCATGCCCCATCACTGTACGGAGCTCCTCAGCATAGACGGAGACTCTTCAGTTCCAGATGCTTAAGGAAATCTCTGCCCAATTATTCGATGGCCACTAAGCTAAGCGAGCAGAGACTTCAGTGGGCACACATGATAAAGAATATAGATTCGACAGAATTTGTCCAGAAATCACTAAACAAATAACAACAATAACAAGTAGAAACAACAAACTCGGGGAAGGGAAGAGAATTTGATTTCTAGAATTACAACATTCTATTATATTAAATGTCCAGTTTTCAAAAAAGAGTTTTAGAGATATACAAAGAAATTTTAAGAAGTCTCAAACATGGGGAAAAAAGCAAACAATAGAATCTGTCCCTGAGAAAGCCCAGAGATTAGAGTTACGGACAAAGACTTTAAATCAGTTGCTTTAAATAGGTCCAAAGAACTAAAGGAAACTATGTATAAAGAGCTAAAAGAAAGTATGAGAACAGTGTATCACCAAGTAGAAAATACAACAAAGAGATGTAAATTATTTCTTTAAAAAAATTCTGGAGGTGAAAAGTACAATAACTCAAATGAAGCTTTCATTGTAGGGGCTCACCAGAAATTTGAGCAGGCAGAAGAATGGACAAACTAGAAGACAGGTCAGCCTGTCCAGCTTGAGAAACAGAACAGCAGCGAAAACAACATGAATGATGAAAAATGAACAGAGACCTTCAGAGACCTCCGGGACACCATCAACCACACAAACACACACATCATGAAGTCCCACAAGGAGAGGAGACAGAGGCAAGGGAAGAAAGAATATTTGAAAAAATAACAGCCAACTCAACTTTGATGAAAACATTAATCTACACATCCTAGACGCTCAACAAACTCCAAGTAGAATAAACTCAGAGAGACCCACACCCAGACACATCATAATCAAGCTGTGAAACGTGAAAAGCGGAGAGAATTCTAAAAATAGCAAGAGAGAAGGGACTCATCTCATACAAGGAATCCTAAATAAGATTAACAGATGACTTATTAGAAGTCATGAGGCCAGAAAGCAGTAGGATGACATATTCAAAGTGCTGAAAGAAAAAGACTGCCAACCGAGAATTGTATAATAGTATAGCTATCCTTCAGGAGTGAAGGAGAAATTAATACAAATAAATAAACAAAATAAAATGATAAAATATAAATAAAATTATATAAATACCATGTATTATATATAAAACTATATATATTAAAAATTCTAAATATAAATACAATATATATGTGTGTGTGTATACATACTATATATCAATATTTTTAACAGTTTTTAAACAAAATCTGAGATAATTCATCACTAGCAGACCAGATAACTACAAGGAGGTCTACAGGCTGAAATGTAAGGACACTAGACAGCCACTCACACCAACTTGAAGAAATAAAAACATTAGTAAAGGTAACCATGGAAGTCAATACAGAAGACGGTGTGAATGTATTTTTTTAATCTTGTATGCTTAGACACAGAGTTACCATACGTGTTAAGCTGTTTTTATGGAGCTATAAATACCTGAGACCAGGTCATTTATAAGAGAAGAGGATTAAGTGGCTCACAGTTCTGCAGGCTGTACAGGAGCATAAGGGCTTCTTCCTCTGGGGAGGCCTCAGGAAACTCTTACTCATGGTGGAAGGTGAAGGGGGAGCAGGCGAGTCACGTGGTGAAAGCGGGAGCAGCGGGGTCGGGGAGGTGCCACACACGTTTAAACACCAGATCTCACAGGAACCCAGAGTGAGAGCTCACTCTTCACCACGGGGATGGCTCAAGCCATTCCTGAGGGAGTCACGCCCGTGACCTAAACACCTGCCCCCAGGCCCCACCTCCAACACGGGGGATGACAGTTCAACACGAGGCTTGGCAAGGACATGCGTTTAAACTGTATCACCATATAACCCGGGAAGTCTAGGCCCGGGCTGATACTCAGGACAACTGAAAACGGGTCCGCACAAAACTTGTGAATCAATGTTGATCACCGCGTTATTCATCATAGCCAAAAGATAAAATCAGCCCAAACGTCCGTCCGCTGATGGACAGGTTAAAAACGTGGCCCATCCCTGCAACGAAATGTGGCCCAGCCCCGAGAGGCATGAAGTGCTGACGGGTGGAGCGACACGGAGGAGCCTCAGAAACACCCACCATGCTGCTGCCCGGAAGAGGCAGGCACGGAAGGCCACGCGCTCTATGACCTCATCCATGGGAAACGCACAGAGGCGAGGCCTGCCCGGGGCTGGGAGGAGGGGGCACAGGAGCGCCGGCTGTGGGGATGGTGTTTCTCCCGCCGGGGGTGGCTGGCTCACCCTGGCACTGCACCGCAGTGGGGGTGGACCGGATGCCGCTGAACTGCCTGGACTTTCAAGAGGTAAATTCCGAGGTATGTGAATTACATTTTAATTTAAAAACATTCTGTGAGAGCCCATTTTTGTTAAAGATGCCATCTATGCTTAAAAGCCTGCACCAATGCCAGGCCGTACCACTGTGGGCCCTGGTGCCTCCACCCAGGAAGCAGTCCAGCTGCGAGCCCAGGCCAATGGGGCCAGCACGGATGGGAGGGGGCGTGGAGGGGCCCACAGATGCTGCGGCCCAGCCTGGCCTGAGAGGGGCCACCTCTGTGCTGGGGCTCCCAGGCACCCACCTCCCGTGGCAACTCCTGGCTCCGGTCCGCTCCCAGCCCTTCTGTGGCTTTGGAGGCTGAATCTGCCTGCATCTGCCATTGATTTCCAATTCCAAGGATGTTGTGTTTACAGTGTAGTGAGATGGGTTTGTGTTTCTGCAGGAGATTCTAGAAGCCAGACCTCGGAGTGGGGGAGGTGCTAGGCCTCCCTCCCACCTGGATAACCTGACCCGGAGCCTGGGGAAGCTGGCTCGGCACCCCCAGCCCTGACCTCTCCTCGTGGGCCTGGCACGGCAGGCTCTGGGCACAGCCAGGACCCCCAGGGCCTCAGTCTAGCCCCTCATTTTCCAAGGAGGCAACCGAGGCCCAGCCAGGCTTTCAAGGCTGGGCAGAGCCAGCCTGGAACTCAAGTCCCCAACAACTCCCAGTCATGGAATGTTGTACAAGAGGATTCTGGCAGCCAACCCTGACATCTTTAAAAATGTTCTTTCTGGCCCTTAACTACTGGGGCACCACAGTTCCTCGGCTGTCTGTCTTTGTGCTGGGCTGTGCCTGGCTTTGTCTGTAGCTGTCAGTCCTATTTTGTCCGCTAGGAACAAGGCCAGGGCAGCCTCTGTGATCCCCTCGAGCTGGCCAGTCTTCCCTGACCCTTCCCTCTCGGCCCCTGGCCTTGCTGTAGTCATGTCCATGGACACCTCCTGCCCACCCTGGCGGGCACCACTGTGTGGACACAGTCCTGGGAGGGGTGGGGGGCACCACTTTGGGAACGGAGGGTCTGAACTCTGCCCTGTCTTTGAGCCTTTGTTTTCCTTGTGTGCAGACGAGTGCTCCAGCCAGGTCCTCTCCAAAGTCTCGGCCCCCTGCCTGGTGCAATCTCTGCCTGACAAACCCGGCCCCCCGAAGTGCTCTCACTCCTTCAAGTCTCATTTTGTTAACAGGGGGCTGTTCTTGTGGAGGGTCCCACACCCATTGTCTTAGCTGACCCCACAGCAGGCAGGTGGGGAGGGCAGGGATCTTCTGCCCACTCTGAGGACAAGGAGACAGCCTGGAAGGGGTGGCTGGAGGGTCTGGCTCTGTCCTTTCCGCTGCGCTGGGCCAGGAGCAGGATCCCAGTTGCCCGACTACCCTGTAGTCCACACCTGGAGGATGCTGTCACTCATGAGTGCCCCGGACCTGGGGCGCTGTCCTGGCACTTAGCACCCCTTCCAGATGAGGGGGCAGCCCAAGCAGGCACCTAGCAGGTGGGAGACAGAGCTGGGCCTGGCACCAACCTGGCTTCCTTCGAGGCTTTATGGGTCCCGGGGGCATCTGGGAAAACTCTTGAGTTGGGTTTTGGTAGCAGGAACGGGTCAGGCCCCACATCCCAAGCAGAGGTCGTGGGGACTGGGAGGCAGCTCGCTGCCCTAAGAGGACGGTACTGGGGCCCCAGGCCCAGAGATGAGCCTCGTCCCACCCCACGTGATACACCCCTCCCCCTGCACGCGGCAGGCCCCTCACAGGGCTCTACTCCAGTGGCGTGTGCTGGCGGCTGGGGAGGCCCGAGAGGATGGTGGTTCCATGGAAATGGGAGAGTGGACACTGTCCAGGGCGCCGGTCCCAGCCCCAGGGCCAGCGAGGTCAAGGTCTCCTTGCTGGGCCTTCCTTCCACTAGGGGTGACCACAGGAGGTGGTGTGAATGCCCGCAGGGGCTGTTCTGATCAAGTCCACTCAGCCTCTCCCTGTCTGCGTGTCAAGGGCACGCCAGCAGGCAGGGCACTCCCTGCACCGCCGCACAAACCGGCATCTTCTTCGTCCTGACTTGAGTGGCCTCCAGCCCCCTCCCAAGCCCCTCACCCAACTCCCTCCCCAGCTCCCTCCCTAACCCCTCCCCAGATCCCTCCCCAGCCCATCCCCAGCTCCCCCCACAGCTCCCACCCCAGCTCCCTCCACAGCTCCCTCCCTAGCTCCATCCCCAACCCCTCCCCAGCCCCCTCCCTAACCCCTCCCCCACCCCTCCGCAACACTTCCCCAGATCCTTGCCCCACCCTTCCCCAACCCCCTCCCCAGCCCCCCTCCCTGACCCCTCCCCAGCACTCTCCCCAGACCCTCCCCAGGTCTTCCCCAAGCCCCTCTCCAGCCCCTCCCCAGCTCCCTTCTCAGCCCCTGGGTGTCAAGGCTGTATCGCGGCCTCTTGCAAGGACAGACCAGCTGGCCGCGGTGCTGGCTCTTGGACTTTCTGGAGCAGCTCCCTGGAGGCCTAAGGGGGCAGGGGCAGGGGCAGGGGCAGGGGCTGACACAGTCGTTCAGCCTCCGTGCCCAGCCCACTCACAGGAGAGTTAGCAGGGCAGACGCCAGACCCCAGGCGGGGACTGACTATGGGCTCGGGACAACAGTACCTCGAGGGGCAGCAGCCTCCAGGTGAGCAGGGCTGACTCAGTAGCTGCACGGGACGTTGGGCCTCCAGCCTGGCCGCATTCACACCTGGCCATCCTGGCAAGCTCAGGGCTGAGACCAAGTTCTGGGGGTGCAGAGCCGCGCCTCCAGGCCTGTTGCCCCAGCTCAGCATCTCGGGATCCACTGCCCCAGCATGGGTGCCCTGCAGGGGGCCAGACCTCCCGGGACCTCCACGCGGGGACATGGGCTGCCGGACCCACCCCCTGCTGCCACGGCTGGATCCAGGGCCGCCTTCCTCTGCAGACACTCGTGGGCAGGGGGTGGGAGCACGAGCCTAGGGAATGCAGGACACCCCGACTGCAGTTCTGGTTCAGCCGCAAACCGGCTGCGTCCTGGCCCCTCGTGGCCACGTGGGTGCGTGCCATGCTCTCAGGCGTGTGGGGCTCCCATGTCCACGGCTCCTGCCCGGATGCCCCTCCACGTCTGTGTACGTCCCTGCTGCTACCAGGCCCCGGGCTGAGCGAGCGCGACCAAGGCCCAGCCTCAGAGCCCACGCTGCCTCTCGGCCTCTCCTGCCCCACAGGCCCTGGCCCAAGCTGGTGTCCATGCTCCTCGCTCAGAGCTCTGCCAGCCCGTCCTCCCTGGCTTCCTGCCACTCTCTGTGCGTGAGTCACTGGGCAGGAGCCACCACGCCAAGAAAGGAAGCCGATAGGGTGGAAAGCGTCCTCAGTGTGTGTGGTCAGGGGCACTGGCCTGGCCACCTACTGCTGTGCCCCCAGGACGAGTGACGGGGGGCTTCTTCTCAGGGTGCACTTGGAGTCACAGACACCCCGGGGCAGAAGAGCCATGAGTACTTGCGGGGTCCAGGCTTCGGCTCGCGCAGCTTAGGCTGAGGCGGTGCGGAAATCTGCAGGGTCTGGTTTTGGATCCGATTTACGTCTCTGCTCTGTCGCCAAAGTTTTGCCTTTTCCGGAATGTTACAGAAATGAGGTCTCACAGGATGCGGCCTGTCTGGCTTCCTTCACTTAGAAAAGCGCGTTTAGGACTCGCCTGTGCTGTGAAGTGCCAGCGCGTGCCTTTTGCCCCCAAGATTCTGCGGTATGGGGGGTCCGCAGCTGTTTTATCCCCTCGCCGGTGATGGGCACCTGAGTTCTCTCCAGCGCGTAGGGGGTTACACACCAGCATCTCTCCACATTCACTCCCGGGTTTTGTGTGAATACAGGTTTTCGGTTCATTCGGGTGCACGCCCAGGACAGGTTTCTGTTGAGCCCTGGCTCCTCTGACTGGAGGGTCCGCCCGGACAAAGGGGTGGTCACGCTGGAAGTGCTGAGTGTGGGCGAGGAAGCGCAGCAGCCTCAGCGGCAGTTTCCAGAATGCTCTTCCTTGGCGGGCAGAGGCAGCTTGCTGGGAACCCGAGGCTCTGCAGGTTTTGCGAGTTTGGTAAGAAGGCATCACACGTGAGACGCACAGGTGCCTGCAATCACTCGTCCTCTACGGCAGCAGCCAGCAACTCCCTGACCACGGAGGTGGGGATGGGTGGGGCCAGGCCACGTAACAAGCGGCCCTCAGGACTTGTGGCCTTCCCATCCATGCTCCACGCCCAGCATGGGTGCCTGGAGGTGTTGTCCTCACTGTGTTAATGCCCATGACACAGGAACTTGGGGGAGAGATGCCAGCATGGCGCCCAGGGTGGAGTCCCTGTGGGGCAGCCTGCGTGGGGCGCCGCTGTGACCCAGGAATGGACTGAGAGCCCACCAGGGGAGGACGGTGAGCACCGTCCCTCTTGGGTTTCCTGTGGAATTGGGGGTGGGGGTCTGGCCAGTGAAATCTCCAGCGCCAGGGTGCCCATCTGACACCCGGCTGCCCATGTGCAGTGTTTGCCAGTTACTGTGGTGTAAATATTCCTGCCTGGCTGATCTCAAAGCAAAGCGCTGAGCTAAGCTCCACACAGTGACTCGGACAGCACCGCACAGCGGCCCCAGCACCTGCGCAGCACGGACTCCCTAAGGACTCTGGGCAGAGGGAGTTTTAGGGGTGCAACAACAGCTGTGAGGTCCCCGGGGCATCCTCCCGGCCACCTGCCACCAACACAGCCCAGCCTCTCCATCCTGGAGGCCCCTGCCCCGGGTCCTGCAGAGCCACGTGATGTTTGTCTGATGCCCTCTGTTTTCCAGCTCTGCTCTGAGGCCTGACCGTCCCTGGCCGCCAAGTGTCTGCTGACTGAGAGCTCCAGCTCCGGAGAGGTGCCCAGTACCTGGTGAGCAGAGGGACCTGAAGGAGCAGGTGCCTCTTCCTCAGACATCTGCAGTCACTTCACAGTGAATGAGGCTCCAGCCGGGTGCCCTGAGAAGTGGCCAACACCCTACCCAAGAGGAGACCGCACAGCCACGGCCAACGTGGAGCTCTAACTCAGGGCTCCAGCCTCCAGCCCAGTCCTTTTCCTTGAGTAGGGACGACCCCCACAGCGGCCTCTCTGCATTGCTTAGGTGGGGAGCACATGTGGTGAAGATGGGCAGCCTGCAGGTGCCTGCTACACGTGGGGGCCACGGCCGACGGAAAGCTCAGTCATGAGTGAAAACAGAGGAAATGTTTCTGAAAATATAACAAGTCAGTGGGAAATCAATTTATCAAAAGCAATTTAAAGCAGCCTTGCAGGAACACAGGTCCACACTGGCAAGGCCATCGCTCACCTGTGGGCTGTGTCTGTCCATCCACTCAACAGATCCATGAGCCTCTGCCCGGCGCCATGCCCAGCCCAGGGGCGCCATGCCCAGCCCAGGGGCGCCAGCCCCCCGAGCTCATGGCCGGGGTGGGGCTCCTGACAGATTCCTGTGGGCAGTGAGGGCCGAGGTGCTGAGGTGCCAGGCAGCCTGGCAGCGACCACAGTTCTGCTTGACCCTGCAGGGGGGACGTTTGCGCAGAGCCGCCGTACTGCCCGGTCGGGGGTCCGGGCACTGGTCACGCCCAGGACTGGCCCCACGGCCAAGATGGTGCCGCACAGCCTGGCCTTTTGTCAGGTTCCCGGGATCCACACAGATGCGAGCCCCAACCCTGCACAGAGCCCCAGAGCCCTGGAACCCTGGCTGGCAGGGACAGACAAGAGTGAAGGGTTCCTATTCCCCTTTTCTGAGAACGGAAGGGCCCCCTGGGCCGCTGTCTGGTGAGCCGCTGCTCTGCACAGGGCTTGTCTCGGGCGAGAGGTAGGCAGAACTGGCCTGGGAAGCAGCTCTGGCCATGCCTCCCCAACCGTCTTCAGGGAGCCAGGCCCGTGTTACCAGCCCTGTTCTCCCCGGAGAGGCAGGGTGGCACACAGTGCCTTCCCCAAGAGGCTCCTAGCACGAAGCACAGAAGCTGCTCCCCCTGCGAAGCTCCCAGCCCAAGGTGAGGGGACAGGGCACCATCCCGCCAGGCTCCCTGCCAAGGTGAGGGGACAGGGCACCATCCCGCCAGGCTCCCTGCCAAGGTGAGGGGACAGGGCACCATCCTGCCAGGCTCCCTGCCAAACCTTCTGGAGGGTGGGTCAAGGACTGTGGCATGGGCAGAGGCTCCAAGGACATGTCCAGGTTCCTGTTTCAGATGAGGGAAACTGAGGCCAGGGGGGTCCCCAAACCACTCCCTGCAGGGTCAGAGGTTGAGCTCAGCCCGGCTGAGCCCCACTCCTCGTGCACCTGTCTCTCCCCGTCCCAGGGAGGCTGGAAGGTGTCTGATGGGGCCCAGGCCAGGGGACCCCTCCCACCCTCAGAAGATGGGGACTGGGGCGCAGGAGGTCCAGAGGGGGCAGGCCAGACTCTGGCTACTGTCCCTGCTGCCAGCCCGCGGCCCGGTGCGGGGACAGCTCCACACAGCAGGGATGGCGAGGGCGTGCAGGAGGAGGCCAGGCTGTCTCCACTGCCACCACCACTGCCCAAGGGACGCCTCTACGGCACAGCACTCGTGGCCCTGGGTGGGGTGGAGGGAGAGCCAGGCCAGCGAGGCTTCAGAGTCCACACGGCGCTGGCGTCTGAACCAGCAGGGCTGTGGGACCTGAGCAGCCACGTGGCATCGTCTGCCACAGGCCCGGGCCTCCCCCGGCACCCCTGGCCACTGTGGAGGCTGCAGTCCGGTGCCACCTCCCAGGGGGCAACTTCAGCCTGTGCTCCTCCTCCTGGCCGTGAGATGGGCCCAGGGCCTGCCCCGCACAGCTGTGTGTGCTGCCTCAGACCGAGCCCACCACTGAGGGAGATGCAGGGGCCCACACACAGCTGCTACCACTCGGCCCCGTCGGCTGTTCCCCTGCAGGGCTCGTGTGAGCGACCCCCATCGCCGGGGGAGGAGGAAGCAGCCCGGGGCCCAGCTCCCAGAGCTGCAGGGGCATCAGGACAGTGGCTCCCTCCCGCCTGCTGTGGAGGTGGCCTTGAGGCCTCAGCCTGGCCCCCGCCCTGCCACCCTGCGCAGCCCAGCAGCAGAAACAGGACTCAGGGCCCCATCTCAGAGGGCAGGAACAGAGCTGGCATTGGGCCGAGCACCCCCGTTCCCAGCTGCTCAGGGCTGAGCAAATCACAGCTCTGAGCAACTCTGACCCTTGGCACCCACCCTCCTCCCGGAGCACCACAGTTCCCGGGGCACTCACCCTCCTCCTGGAGCACCACAGTTCCCGGGGTACCCACCTTCCTCCCCGGGGTACCCACCTTCCTCCCCAGCGTGCCCACCTTCCTCCACGGGGACCCGCTTTCCTCCAGGGATACCCAGGTGCCTTCCTCTCAGGGCACCCACCTTCTTCCCAGGCACCTACTTTTCTCCTGGGGCACCCACCTTCCTCTGGGGGCACCCGCCTTCCTCCAGGGGCACCCACTATCCTCCCAGGATACCCATCTTCCATGGCACCCATCCCATCTTCCTCCCATGGCACCCACCCCATCTTCCTCCCAGCGGCATGAGGCTCCCAGGGAGCTGTGTCTGCGAGGGCAGCATGTCTAGCCTGTGTCCAGTCCTGGGCAGGGAGTCTCACGACAGCCTCCAGATGCACCTGCACCTGCCCAGCCAGGGTGGCCTTGACCAGGCCGTGCAAACACCAGGGCCTGGCCTCTCCCACATGGGGTCATCTGCTCACCCAGGGAGGGCTGGAGGCTCACCCCACAGCCCCTTCCTCCTGCCACAGGGAACAGGGGACCAGGGCATCCTCCAGAGCAGTCCCCAGGGTGCAGATGGCCCCAGAGCCCCCAGACCAGCCCCAGCCCCGGGCTCCTGGACCATGGCTGGAAGGGATCCTCCCGCTCAGGGCTGGAGATGCCTGGCCTGGCACCAGCTACTCCGCCTTCTCCAAGGCACTTTAAAAAACACCCAGCAGCAGCACCTCATCCTCAGGGCACCCGCAAAGCTGAAGATGCAGACAAACAATACAGGGTGAGACTCCTGGAGGCGACAGGGCTGAGCTCGTGCCCTGTGAGCTCTTTCCCAGGTTACAGAGCTGAAAGGAGCCCAGGGACCTGGAGGAGGCTGTGTCAACTGCCGTCTGGTGGCTGGAGGTTGAGAGGCCAGCAGCCGCCAGCCTGCCCACGGGCACTCAGACCCACGGCCAGCGGCTTCTGGAGCAGGCCAGGTGGAGGCAGTGAAGCCCCCTCTTGGGGTCTGTTTCTTGCTTCCACCCAGAGCCACTCTGGGATCTTTTTGATGTGCCCTTGGATGCCCTTGTTCAGTGAGGGGGGCAGGCAGGGGCAGGCGGAACAGACCTCACCACTGAGCGGCCCCCAGAGGTCCTCCCCAGCCTCCCGAGGACCTCAGAGGGGGGCCCTTTCTCTCCCCTGCATCTTGGCCAACGGGTCCTGCACTGGAGCTGGGGCCTTGGTCAGACTCTAGGGGCCTGAAAGTCTCCTCCTTCCCCACTGAGGCTGGGAAAGGAGGCAGGTGGGCCTGGAGGCTCAGGCGGGGCTGCTGCTGGGCACCTCACTGGCTCTGCACCTACCTGCCCATGGTGCCAGCTGCCTTGCCGCTGCGTCCCCAGGTCACACATACTGGGAACCCCATGTGGCCGCCCCCGCAAGTTTTGCAGAACCCGTCCCGAGCCCCCGCGTGTCTTTCCCAACATGGGTCCCCTGTGGGGGGTGGGTGGGACCCTGTCTTTCCCAACATGGGTCCCCTGTAGGGGGTGGGCTGGGACCCTGTCTTTGGCTCCCGTTCCACACCTTGCCCTAGCCGGCAAGGGCTGCAGACCCGGCCGACAGGCCAAGCTTGCCAGAATCACTGGTCCCATGCAAAGCCAACACCCAACTCCAATGGGCGGCAAAGCGCCGCAGGCACAGAGCCTCCTTTCATCTCTGCAGCAGGCTGAGTTTAAAAAGCAGATTTTCTACACAATGTCGTACGCGAGTCTCAGCAGAGCTCAGGCCACGACCTCCAGCTGCCTGCAAGCCTGCATCTTCCTCTGGGAGGCTTCCCCCCTCACCCTGCATCAGGGCCCGGGCTTGAGGGGTGATGGAGGCAGGTTCCCCTGCAGCCGGCGGTTCTGGGAGCAGGTGCCCGAGGCGGAGGCCATGGCCTCTGAGCAGGTGGCAGCTTCGCCCCCACCAGAGCCTGCAGCCCTCACAGCATCCCACATTGCCCCAGCCTCTGCCTGGGCCAGGCCCTCAAGCTGCTGGCTGGGGTGCCCAGACTGTGGAGGCAGTGGTTGAAGGCCAATGGCTCCTGGTGTCATTAAAGACTCTGTTTTTACCTCCTCTGGGCCTCGGGAGACCAGCCTGGCACCAGAGGAGGGGCTGGCAGAGCCCCAGGCTCCAGTCCACACCCACCGGCCCCAGGTCTGGCCATGGGCTGGGCCCTGGTGTGCAGACAGCAGTGGCCACTGCTCCAGGGCCTTTGCACCAGCCTGCTGCAGGTCCAGGCGGTCATGGGGAGTGGAGCCGCAGCGGCCTCTTGTTTTCCTTCCCCTCTTGGGAGACGGCTGCTCCTCCTGGCTGTTTCCAGAAAGTGTGTTTGTTATTTGGCTCCTGGAAACACCATCTGATGAAACAGGCTCTGTTGGGCTGGCCTGCCAGGCGGAGGCTGTGGGCGCCCAGGAGTCTCACCACGAAGCAGGTGGCAGAGGCCCGATAGCCCCACCCTGCAGGCCGGGACCTGGCACCTAAACGGGGAGATGGAAGAACATGGAAAATTCCCTAAGAGCAAATTGATGCTCAGCTTCCGCGGGCACCAACTTGCTGCGGAATCCTGCTTTGCAGATCATCGTTCCTCGAGCATTCGGACGCCTCGGGCCCCAGAAGTTCAAGAACAAGAAAGCTCTGTTTCATGCAGACACGCTCACGCATGCACACATGCTCACACATGCACTTATACGTGCACACACACACACACAACACACACACACGCACACTCACACAACCATGGCCATGTAGCCCCAGTCTCAGCATCATGTCCTCTATTTAGAAATATTGGCTAAACACCTAATAAATAACTAAACAGAAATGTAATCTTTAATAAAGTCTCATAAACCAAAAGCCAGCTGGCAGTTCCATTTGGAACATCCATGAACACAGCTGCATTTATAGGAAAACTTCTCCGTCAGCGATGCTCCCATGTGTGACAGCCGCCCCCAGATGTCCTTCCTTCCCCTCCACACCCCCTCACAGCCCAGGGCCCTGGGGACACCGGTGCCGAAGGGCTGGATCTGATGGACAGGCCAAACCCGGGCCACGGGCCACAGTACTGAGCAGGCGGGGCCCTCAGGGAGGGACGGGGCTCCCTGGGCCAGCCCTCTGCCAGCCGACCAAGACTCACCCTCGATGGTGCCCTCGACCTGTCCTCCCTCAGCAGCCTGTGGCATCCAGACCAGTTCGTGGCCCCTAGGAGGGGAAACTGAGTCCCAGCCCCAGGGTCCTCCCTCGGCTTCACTGGGTGCCCCATGGAGGAGACAGCCAGGGTGTGTCACCTGACAGGCTCACCAGAACCAGCACAGGTAGGAGGACGGGGCAGGTGGGGACAGGACAGGGTTGGACTCCAAAGGGAGGCCGGCAGCACTGTGTCCCGGGGATGCTGACAGTGGCCCAGGAGGGGTCAGATCTCCTCCCCAGCCAGCAGCAGGGCCGTATGCTGGGAACAGGACCTCGTGGTGAGCAGGTGGGAAGGAGGTGGGTGGAGATGGTGGGTAGGGCTGCCTGGAAGACTCCCCAGGGATGGCCATGTGTGTTGGGAGCACTGCTGGAAGGATGGTGTGGCCAGGAGGAAGTCCCAGGGACAGGGGTGAGGAGGCTGGGCCAAGAGCCTGGGTGTGAAGAAGTCACCCTCAGCAGGCTGGGCCCATGGGCCCGGGGGGTGCTCAGGGAGGGTGAAGGGAGATGGGGAGGAGGCTCAGGCCTGCCAGGAGCCGGGTCCTGGTGGGCAGCAGAGGGTACGGTGCCTGGCAGCGCTGAACGGGAGTGGGCGGGAGGACGTGGAGCCAGGCCAGCCTCAGTTCGGGGGTCCTGGGGCCTGTGTCCAGAGGCGAGGCCCACACAGCGGCGGGACTGGTCCTGCAGGCGCGTGGCCACAGTGGGCAGGAGTGGGGGCTTTGGGGCCCTGGCTGCCCAAAGCTTGATGCTAGCCTAGGGCCAACCAGACCCCACATTCAGGGCATACCCCACAGCGTATCAGACATCTATAGCCGTGTAGCAAATACCCCAAAACGTAGCAGCTTAAAAATGCCTCCACGTGTTAGCTCCCCCGTTTCAGGGGCAGCATGGCTGGTGGCTGTGGCTCAGGTGGCAGCCACGGGCAGCCCCTTGTCCAGGACGGGGCTCACGGGGCTGTGGGGAGGCCTCAGCCCCTGACCATGTGGCACCCCCAGGCTGCCAAGTCTCCTCCAGGTGCCAGAAGCCACAGTCTAACCCCCTAGGCCTGGAAGTGGCCTCCCTTGTGCTGTGCCCGCCATGGGCTGTGGTCACATGGGTCACCCTAAGGCCACGCGGGCAGGGCTGCACCAAAAACATCAACACGGGGTCAGGGCGTCCGAGCCACCACAATGCCAGCTCCTGCAGTGCTGGCCACGTGCCTGGCAAGGAACCCTGCACACAGACCCTGCTCTGCCCACCCCCCAGGGGTCACGAGGCACACAGACCCTGCTCTGCCCACCCCCCAGGGGTCACGAGGCACACAGACCCTGCTCTGCTCCCCCCACGGGTCACGAGGCCCTCGTCCTGCTGGGCTAGAGGCGGTGGCCTCTGCCCTCCTCATAGTGGCTACTGGGAGACCATGAGGTGGTGGCAGCAGTTGCCTGTGCGGAGGTGTGCTCAGTGCTCAGGCAGGGAAACGTGCACACACACACTCTCACACACACACACACACTCATGCATACATGAGGAGGGGCTTTTGGGGGAAGAGGAGCCCAGGGAACATGACTCCTGGCACCTTCCATGGCGGGACCAGGGGTCGGGGGTGCAGCAGGAACTCTGGCCTTGAACCCAGTGGCTCCGCCTCATCTAGGGCTGCTCTCACCAGCTGTGCGGCCTGGGTGACTCCATGGCTCTGGGTCATGGGCCGTGCTTGGTGCCTGGGGGGCCCGGCCTTCTGTGCCTCAGTCTCCCCCACCCCCTGCACAGCAGGCTAAGGGCGCCTGATCCGTGGGACTCAGGGAGCTGAGTGGGAAGATTTTTGGAAAGAACTGCCAGGGCCGGCATCAGTGAGGGCACGAGCTTCTGGCCGCCTCTGCCCTTCCCATTCCCAGCTGCCCTGCAGGTGCCCGCTGTGGCCTGGAGACGCGGCTGTGGACGCCATCTGCTTGCGCTCTCTCCCTTTTTTAGCCCGAGGCTGAGCGGTCCCTCCGGACTGGGGTGCGTGGCGCCTGGCTCTTGACTGGCAATGGAGACGCTCCCCAAAGCTCCTGGAATGTTACTGACCGCCGGGCTGGGATGGCGCTCACATTCTTCTAGGTGTGGATAGTGGAAACCAAACCAAAATATTAGCACAAGGCTAAGTTTGTTTTACAGCCTCCTGTAATATATGAGGTGCTTGTTTGGATTTTATCTAAACAACTTTCCCTGCACACCCAGCAGCTGCTGAGTTTTGGCTCCCGGACCCTGGAGCCCCTGCTGCCGAGGCTGGGGATGGCGGCTCCAGAGGTCATTCCTCCCCCGGAAGACACACGCTGGCCTTGGGCCAGGGGACCCTCAGCGACGGGGTCACCCCAATGTTCTGGAGGCTGCGGTTCTGCTTCCTCCTGGGGCTGAGCTGAGCAAGCTCTAGCTCTCGGGCCGAGCGCAAGGAGGGCAGGAGTGATGTCTCCAACTGTGCTGAGGTCTGCCCTGGGTGCAAGGGCCCTGTGTTTTCAGCGCTGCCGTGTGGCCCATGGATGCCCCAGGCCCCTGGACAGTTGATGCCTGGGGTCCACACTCCTGGACAGGGCTCTGGACAGTTGATGCCTGGGGTCCACACTCCTGGACAGGCCCCCGGACAGTTGATTCCTGGGGTCCACACTCCTGGACAGGGCTCTGGTCAGTTGATGCCTGGGGTCCACACTCCTGGACAGGGCTCTGGTCAGTTGATGCCTGGGGTCCACACTCCTGGACAGGCCCCTGGACAGTTGATGCCTGGGGTCCACACTCCTGGACAGGGCTGAGGAGGTGGTGTCCCCAGACTTGCCCCAGCACAGCTGTGGGGGGCACCCGGACACCCGCCCCGGCCTCAGTCTCCCATCCCAGCTGGCCCTGACACGGGTGCATGTGATGCCCTCCTGGTCTTGGCCTCTCAGACCCAGCTCAGCCACGGCCATCCAGACCCTTGGGCTCCGGTGTCTTCCCAAAGCTCTGAGAAGCACCCCCTTGGGGCAGCCAGACCCCTGACCACCCTCCGAACCTCGGCTGGACTCCCTGTGGCCCAGTCCGGAAGGGTTCTCCTCGGAACAGAGGGCAGATGAGGCAAGAGTCGGTCCGAGTTCTGCCCTCTGGCACCGGCAGTGCTGTGGAAGGCCCATGGGGCGGCTCAGTGGTCCCCAGGGACCTCAGCCTTCGGGAAAGTGCAGCAGAGACCTCAAGGCCCCCCACGCTCAGCTAACGTTGCCCTCGCTCATCCAGAGCACAGCCCGAGCTGCAGGAGGGCCAGGAGGGCAGATGCTCCACAGCTCGGACAGCATCCATAAGACCCGCGTGGAGAAAATAGCAAAGGCCAGTGTGGAACGGAGAGGACGTGAACGGCGAGTGCTCGGAGAACAAGCACGCCAGCAGCGAACCCAGGGGGACCAGCCCGACAGCCAGTGCGCTGAGACACCGGCCAACGGCAACGCCCCATCCTCACCGCGAACGCCACTGTGACGCGCTGACAGTGGATGCGAATGCGTGACACAGACAGCGAGTGCCAGTGTGACCGTCACGGCTGATGCTGAGCACTGCACCGACACACCACAGAATCTGCAGGCCCAGGGCTCAGCTCCTGCTTGCGGGGCGCAGGCCGGCCCCACCGTCCGACGTACAGACCAGCATGGGCACCTTAGGCCTCTCCACCCTCCTCTGCCCAGAGCCTGCCACCATCCGTGTTACACAAGAGCCAGGTGCTGCACAGAGAGGCCACGTGCCTTGCCCCAGGCTGCCAGCTCCAGAGAATGGTCCGGGGACGCCATGGTCATCCGGCCCCAGGACTGCTCCTGACCCTCCTGGGACGGATCCTCCGGGCAGAGAGGGGACGCCGTGGTCATCCGGCCCCAGGGCTGCTCCTGACCCTCCTGGGACGGATCCTCCGGGCAGAGAGGGAATGAATCACATTCCGGATGGTGGCTTCAGGTCAGAAAGCTGTCAGGTCACCCAGGTGCCATGCGAGCTGCTCCCCGGAGACGGCTTTCGGCCTTGGGTTTATCACAGCGGCTGTTTTCCGTCTGCCAAGCCAAGCCTGGCTTTCATCTCCCCTCGCACAACGGTCTGCTTCCTCAGCCTCTGGGCTTATAGTGGTTTTCTTTTCTACTGTCTGAAATTGAATGTTTAGTTCATCTATTTTCTATTCTCTCATTTATAATAAAAACATTTCAGATGAGAAGTTTTCCTCCCAGTGTGTTTCTGGCCACCTTCTGGAAGCTGCCCCGCGCTGTCTGCCACGGCGGCATCAGCTCCTCTCTGACCTCACAGCGGCTCTGGAGGGCATCGGGTGAGTGTCCAAGCACCTCTCACCTCAGTGAGACACAGGGCTTGTTTCCAGCCTTCCTGTGTGCCTGGGGGGTGCCTCACGTGTGCACATTGCAGCTGCAGTGGCACTGTTCCCAGGGGGCTGACCTCAGCTGCATGCTCACCCGCCAGAGTGTGGAATCCCACAAACAGGGTTTCATCAAACAGTGACAAGGAGACAGGAGCAGGCCCCATGGTAGGATGGGAGGGGACTGTCTAGTGAGAAACTCAAGGGAACAACCTTGTCAGAGGCCCACAAACCCAGAGAACACAGGGATGGGGCTCATCCTGGAATGTCAGGAGCAGGACAGTGGCCCGAGCATCAGGACATAAGAGGGCCAGACCAGTGCTGGGACCCCTGGGAGTAGCAGGTAGTAGTGGGCAGCAGCGGCCTCAAAGAACCCCAGGACCCCCACCCAGGGGGAAGTTCCAGGTGGGGACAAGGACAGACAGGACACCTGGTCCTGAGAAGCGACACAGAAGCCTTGCTGTCAGACAGGCCTCCCTCAGGCCTGGGCTGCCTGGCTCTGAGCCCCCAGCAAGGTTTGCAGCTGTGGGGAGGGGAGAAGTTAGGGGTCCTGACCTCTATGCGCACCAGGCCGGGGAGCAGCAGGGCAGGCAGGGTGGGGTCCCGCTTTGGGGGACCACCTGCCAAGGGCAGGGCAGGGGCAGGGAGGTGGCCGGCAAGCACGTCCCCGTCCCTACTGGCTGCAACTTCAGTGACACTGCTGAAAACCTGCAACCCCAAGGCGTCAGAGACACGACTCCTGAGCTGCAGGGCAGGCCTCTGTTCAGCCAGGGCCGGATACCAGCCAGGAGGAACCCTCTGCTGCCCCAGAATATGAAATTGGAACAGAAGGTTACGGGCCAGTTCACTCATGGGCAGAGGACAACTCCAAAACGAGGCCCCAGCAGGCAAAATACAGCCCGGCCCAGGAATTCCCGTCCGTGAGCTCGGGACTTCAGAAACTCAGGCTGTGCAGCACGCAGGAGGAAAACACCTTTCACCTGCCAGCAGGACAAACAATAGAAAAACACAATTTTCTCAAAGGGCACCGAGAGGAAAGTCAATAAAATCTCCTGACAAAAGTGTTCCACAATTAGGAATGATGGGCTTCATCCCTACTCTGATAGACTGCGTGCATAAAAGCAAATGCCTACATGCTGGTTGAGAATGCTTGGGTTTGCCTCTGAAACCATGCACACGCACACGCACACACACGCACGCACACGCATGCACACGCACACATGCACGCCTGCCCGCACACACGCACACACATGCACACATGCACACAAAGGCGCCCACATGCACACATGTGCACACACACACATGCACACACAGGCGTGCACACACACGCACACACATGCATGCACACATGCCCCCTAGCTCCGCCCCAGAGAGCACGGGCGAGACTGCGGGTGTGCCTTGACTTTCTAGGTGCAATTGTGCTTTTCAGCAGGCTTTCCCCTGAGGACTTTGGGAAACCCTGGGGCTTCCTTCCTTGGGTTGCGGGAAGGACGAGGCCGCTTGGGTGCCCCCTCGGCAGGGGTCAGTGCCGCGTGCCCATCCTCTGCAGCTGCAGCACCTCCCCTGGCTGTGGAGCACTCACGTTGTCGTGACAGGAGGTCTCCTTTGGGGAATCGGGTGAACGGGGACCTTGCAAGCCGGCTGGGAAGCCCGTGTGGACCAAGAGCACTGGCCCTGGCTCGGCCGCTCTCCACGCCCCGGGGGGGGCCACCTGAGGAGCCCACACAGCCACAGGCCAGTTGTTCTTCCAAGGACGGGGGCTCTGGATGGGGCCGATTTCATTGCACGGCCTCCACGGCAGCATGTGGCCCCTAAACATCTTTGTGCAGCTTCTACGACTCTGCCCTGGTCCCAGCCCACGGGCTCCGGCCTGTCTGGGTGAAGCGCCTGCAGCGGCTCCGGCCTGGCCCACACCTCCCTGGCCAAGTCGGCTGTGAATAAGCCCTCCCCATCCCAGGGACCGCAGGAAGGGGTGGTGAGGAGTGGGAGGGAATTGGGGGGCTCTGCCGAGCTTCCCCTCCAGGAAGGGCCGCAGGACTCAGGCACGCAGATCCCAAAAGGTGTCTGACTTCCGGCCTTGGAAAAGAGGGCCAGGAGGGATGCACAGGGCCACGGGAGGGAGGGGCAGGGACAGGGCCACCCACGGAGCAGCTGGGAAGGCTCCTCGGAGGAGGCAGCCTTGGAGTATGCTGGGAGGAGACTGCGATGGGGGACGTGGCAGAGATGAGTCTGCAGGCAACACTGCTGGGGGCCTGGGGGTGAGCAGAGGCCTTGGTTCCAGTTGTGGTGGAATGGGACCTTCAGGGAGAAGGCGGGTGGAGCAGTGCCCGGCGGGAAGCCCACCCCAGCCTGGCTCTCGGAGCTGGGCCTGCCTGGCTGCACTGGCCTCTCCTGCAGCCGAGGCCGCAGGTCCTTGGAGCACACAGGAACCCCAGGGCCGAGAGGCTGGTCCCAGGCCTGTCCGTCTGGCAATGAGAACCACCTGCTGCTCTGTAAGCAGCCTGTGCTTCTGGGTCCCACCTGCCTCGTCTAAACCTGGACACCAGCCCACCCCCGAAGCTTGAGTGGGGAGTATGGGGCCCCCCACCCTAGCAGCCAGTGGTCAGCACGGCCACCGCCCCGGCCCCCAGCATCACCCCCAGGCAGGGCCTTGTCTGAGTGGACCCAAGTGCCACGGGGCTCAGCTGTCCTCTGGCCTGAGTCCTCGGCCACTTCTCACTGAGCCCGGGGGAGCCAGGATGCTTCTGGGAAGGAGGAACGTGACCAGCATGGCACCCCGGAGCCTGGGGTCCACGGGCTGGGTCCTAGGGATCCCAGGGCCCTGCGCCATCCTGAGCAGAGGTGGCTGCTGCCTCGTGTCTGCAGACCTGGAGCCCCAACCCTCCCCATGCACCAGGCCACAGAGGTTGGCTGACACTGACCAGCAGCAGTGCCCGTTGGAAAGGATTTTGGGTTTTCGAGACACCCATGCATAGATGCCTCCTGGTGGCACTTTCAGCAGGGCCCTGAGGGTCAGTCCAGCTGGGCTTGGCCATGTGCCCACTGCCCAGGGCGGGGAGGCCCAGGCTGGTTGGCAGCTGAAGGGTCCAGTGGAAACAGGCGGGGAGCAGCAGCCGCCAAAGGATGGGGTCTGGGGCCAAGGCAGCGCGTCCATTACAGGGGCACAGAAGCCCCAGAACAGAGCTGCCGGGAGGGTCTCAGGGGTCCACTCCAGCTCCCCTAGCTTACAGAGGAGGGTCAACTGAGGCCCACAGAGGGAGCATGACCTCCCCAAAGCCTCAGCCACCAGGTCTGAGGCCAAGCCAATAGCAAACCACCCACTGGGCCTCATGTTGCGGGCAGAGACCTCACCCTGGGTCCTGCTCTCCAGCGGGCAGCGATCATGGCATGTGGTCAGCGGACACAGGAACCCGGGACCGCAGGCCGCAGAGCTGCCGATGGGAACAGAGAGGCCCTGGGGCTCCCTCCCAGCTCTGTGGAGGGCTCCCCAGAGTCCAGGCCTTCCTGAGGCTTCGATGGTGCCGGGTTCTGTCCCCAGAGGCCAGAGATGTCCTGTTGGCATGGGTTTTGGCCACCCCTGCCCGGGCTGGCCTGGGCCCCTGGCTGAGCTGCCCACTCTCTCCCAGAGGTGGTGCAGGCATCTCCTGGGGGCATACTGGGGTGCAGGTAAGCGGCTGTCTTCTAACAGACAGCAGGTGTGCCTGTGTTTCTGCAGCAAACAGGGCACCGTCCCTGCTCCTTGGGACAGGCACCCTCTCCCCCTAGAGCACTCCAGCAGCACCAGACCACAAGGGCCTGACAGAGGATCAGCCCTGGCACGCCGTTCACCCCCCACCCGCTCTGGACTTTCTCTCTGGAAAATGCAAGCTCCCGCCTGCAGGGCTGGGAGCGTCTGTGACATGGGGCCCCTGCCCGAGCCCAGTCACCCCAGAGGATTTGCAAGCTGCTTTCCTGTCCCTGCCCATGGCCTGGGCAACAGGGGACAGATACCTTCCCTGGAGGGCAGGGAGCTTCCTGCCAGCTTCCCTGCTGCCTCCATGCTCAGTACCTGTAAGCAAAAGCACCAGCTTTGTGGGGCCCACAGCCTCATCTCGGGGACTGGGATGCAGACGTGACAGCTGGGGCTCTGGCAGCTGTTTGGCATGAGAACGAGGGAAGGGTGGTGGCCCCGGGCTACCAATGGCATCGTAGAGGCTGGGACTGCCTGTGCCCAGACTTCTCACTTTGAGACGGAAAGGCCCACCGCATTTTAAACACAAGCCACCAGGACTCGGGTCTTCTCTTACAAGCAGCCTGCCATGAGACTGGGAGGCCGGCAGGCCCCGCTCATTCCCGGGCCCGGCGAGCCCGTCCCCGCCTGTTCCACATGGGCCTGAGTTCTGCCTGCCCCTGCGCCCCACCTGCCAGAGCTCATCCCAAAGCAGCAAAGTCGGGAGTGGGGATCCTGGTCCCCGAGCACCTCCTGGCCGGAAGCTGCCTGCTACCCGCCCAGCCTCACCTCCACCCTCCTCAGTCCCCACTGGGGCTGTCTCTCCAGGGCCCAGGGCTGACCACCCTCCAATCAGAACTCTCCCGCCTCCCACAGGCACCCCTTTCCCTCCCGGGAGACTTCAGGGCCGGCCCAAGGGTACAGGGGACAGGACTTCCTGTGGCCATCCTATGCCCCCGTGGCTGAGCTCCGAGGGGGCGGGCTGGAGCAGGGATCACGGCTGTCGCACAAATGAGACAGAGCTTGTGGGCCCTGCCAGGGACAGGGTTCAGGCAGCGGGAGCCAGGCCCTGTGTGGGTGGGGGCAGTTTCGCCGGGGGTGGAGGGGCCGTGGGGCAAAGGCCAGGTCCAGTCAAACCCCAGGCCACCCAGGAGCCATGCAGAGTTCCAGAGGGGAGAGACAGAAGGCTGCCCCCATCCCACAGGAGCCGCACAGACACAGGCCCGGCCGTGTTCTCCAATTAAACATCAGGGTTAATTAGTCTTCCGGGCCCAGGGGAGGGGGCCGAGGTGGAGTAATCACGGCTGTGCCAGGAAATCCAGAGCTAAGGCCGGGGGAAGAGGGGAGTGTGCTACCCACTGGGAAGGCGGGGAGGCCAGGACTCTGCCACCCATGAAGGGCGCCCCGGCCATGCCAGCTCCAGGCTGGAGCACACAGGTCACACTCGGCTCAGCGGGGCCCTCACGCCGCCCGTCCTTACGACTGCGTGTGGTCACCGCCACCATCGGGGCCGGTGGGGGATGCCAGAGCCCGAGAGGCCATAGGCCCAGCATGGGGGCTTCTCCTGAGACAGCAGGGTGGGCGCCAGTGTTGGGGGTGTGTGGGGGGCTGTGTGGGGGGGATGTATGGAGGGGTGTGTGGGGTGTGTGGGACTGTGGGGTGTGTGGGAGGGTGTGTGTGTGCAGTGTGTGTGCGATGTGTGAGTGGAGGGGTGCAAGTGTGGGGGGTGTGTATTGGGGTGTATGGAGGGGTGTGAGTGTGGGGGGCATGTGTCGGATGTATGTGTGGGGGTGTTTGGGGGTGTATGTGGCGTGTGTGTGGGTGTGTGTGGGCGTGTGTGTGGGGGGGTGTATGGGGGTGTATGGGGGTGTATGGGGGTGTGTGGGTGTGGGGTGTGTGGGTGTGGGGTGTGTGGGGTGTGTGGGTGTGTGGGGTGTGTGTGGGGGGTGTGTGTGTGTAGGGTGTGTGTAGGGGTGTATGTGGGGTGTGAGTGTGTGGGGTGTGGGGAGGGGTGTGTATGTGAGGGGATGTGAGTGTGGGGTGTGTGGAGCGGGGTGTGAGAGTATGTGAATCCCACCCCTGAACTTGGAGTTCGGGAGGGAGAGGCTCAAATGGAAAATAGATTCTGTCTCGGACCCTGTGGAGGGGCGGCCCCTGCCTCCGGCCCCGTGACGCCTGGGGGCCGCTCCTCCCGGGACACTGGAGTGTGCACCGCGGTCCCCCTCACACAGACCTGAGCACAGCAGGAGGCTCAGCAAGTAACACGGGGCCTGGGGTGGACGCTGACCTTGAACATGGAGGCGAGAGTCAGAAGCTCCGTGCTCCTGAATCTCAGCGCCATCACCTGGCTGGCTGGGGAGGGAGGCTCTCTCCTCTTGGGCCTCAGTTTCCCCACTCAGGGCTCCAGGGCCTTCTGTCCTATGTGGCTCCGGCCACCAGGAGATGAGGCCTCTGCTCCACAGTACTTGCAGGGACTCTCAGGCCCCAGGCGCCTCTGCATGTGTGTCACCGGGAAGAAGTATTTAGAATCAGAAAACATGTCATCACCGGTTTTCTCTGAGAAATACCCCACCAAAAATTTTAAAATGAAAACTTCCTCATCTTCAGGGAAGGCTGAAACAAGCCAGGGAAGAGGCCTGTCATTATCACTCTGACCCACATTATTTTAACATCTTTGGAAAAAACACTTTAATTGGGTCTGTTTGACTTTAAAAGAAGGGAGCTTTCCATGAGGGTCTCAGCGCCAGGAGCCAGGGCCCAGCACAGACGCCCCAAGACGGCAACTTCAAAGGGGAAGGAGGCAAGACCAGCATCCTGCCTCCCCGCCCGCCGGCAGCCACCCCGGCATCCTGGAAGCGCTCACTGATAGCAGTGTCCCTGGAAAACCCTGGTCACGGCGGCAGCTGAGAACCCACCAGGCTGGAGGGGCCGCCGGGGGCTGCAGGCAGACAAGGCCTGGGCGGCAGCCAGCACCCACCAGCGTCTCAGAGCAACGACAGTGGCTGCCGTCACCGGCGTTATCGCCACATAGGGAACATTCCAGAATCAACACGCCCGGTGTTTGTACAACACTTGGCTTCCAAGCAGCACAGAACCCTGACTCACCAGCCTGGGGGTCGCGGCTGTGCCTTGCCCCTGCCCGATGCGGCCCGTCACCGCCCTCCCTCCCCACACAAGACGAAGGTCACAGACCCGATGTAACCTTCAGGGACAAACTCAGGCTGGTGCAAGGCCGCTGTGGGGCCTGGACAAGCCAGGTGCAGGCCTCATCAAGACAAAGCCCTCGCGTGGGGCACTCTCAGAGCCCAGCGATCCAGGCAGCGGAGCAAGGGACCCGAATGCAAGCCAGCCCTCAGGGCCAGCACAGGGTCCCGCCGCCTCCCACGGCAATGCTGCACGGAACACACCCCTTGCCGGGAGCTGACGCACTCACACGTCTGGGGTGATCTGGGTGGACCCCACCACGCTTGCCCACAGGGGAAGGTAGAACGGGCAGGCTGAGACGGACAGCTCAGGGAGAGGTCCATCGGGACGCTGGAGTCAGCTCTGTGTGCAGGGCCCCGTCCAGGCCCCCGCTGTCCCCGTGAACACCACACGCAGGCTCTGTGTGCAGGGCCCGTCCAGGCCCCGCTGTCCCCCTGAACACCACACCAGGCTCTGTGTGCAGGGCCCCGTCAAGGCCCCGCTGTCCCTCTTAACACCACACGCAGGCTCTGTGTGCAGGGGCCCGTCCAGGCCCCGCTGTCCCCTCTGAACACCACACGCAGGCTCTGTGTGCAGGGCCCCGTCCAGGCCCCGCTGTCCCCCCTGAACACCACACGCAGGCTCTGTGTGCAGGGCCCCGTCCAGGCCCCGCTGTCCCCCTCTGAACACCACACGCAGGCTCTGTGTGCAGGGCCCCGTCCAGGCCCCGCTGTCCCCCGTGAACACCACACGCAGGCTCTGTGTGCAGGGCCCCGTCCAGGCCCCGCTGTCCCCCTCTGAACACCACACGCAGGCTCTGTGTGCAGGGCCCCGTCCAGGCCCCGCTGTCCCCCGTGAACACCACACGCAGGCTCTGTGTGCAGGGCCCGTCCAGGCCCCGCTGTCCCCCCTGAACACCACACGCAGGCTCTGTGTGCAGGGCCCCGTCCAGGCCCCGCTGTCCCCCCTGAACACCACACGCAGGCTCTGTGTGCAGGGCCCCGTCCGGGCCCCGCTGTCCCCCCTGAACACCACACGCAGGCTCTGTGTGCAGGGCCCCGTCCAGGCCCCGCTGTCCCCTCTGAACACCACACGCAGGCTCTGTGTGCAGGGCCCCGTCCGGGCCCCGCTGTCCCCCGTGAACACCACACGCAGGCTCTGTGTGCAGGGCCCGTCCAGGCCCCGCTGTCCCCTCTGAACACCACACGCAGGCTCTGTGTGCAGGGCCCCGTCCGGGCCCCGCTGTCCCCCGTGAACACCACACGCAGGCTCTGTGTGCAGGGCCCATCCAGGCCCCGCTGTCTCCTGCCTCTCATTCACTCATCTGTGCACAGTCCCGGTGCTGCTCACACAGCACGCACAGGGCAAAGACCCTGCTCTCAGGAGCTTTCCTTCCGGTGAGGAAATAAGAAAGGAAAACCGGGGCCCAAAGTGTCCAGGAGCATCGTGGCCAGGCCAGGAAGGTGCTGGACAAAGGCAGGGGCCGGGTGCTTCTGTTTGCACTGGGAGATCAGACCCTGAGAAGGGGCCAGAGGTCCGGGTGGGCAAGGGGAGCCGGCGTGGACGACCCCACGGGCCCTGGAACAGCTTCCACTTTCCTTCCCTAATCCTCACATCCCAGCCTCAGCCCATTCGTGGCCATCAGCAGCCCCCTATGGCTGCCCAGGCCCCAACTCCTGGCCATGAGGCCCACACCACCTCCGCAGCCCCCACCACGCCCATGGTGCTCAGCTCCAGCTGCAGGCCCCCTCCCACCTGCGGCAGGGGCGTCTAAAACCCTGGTGCCCAAGACCACCCCCTAGACTGGAGATTTCCCAAAACTCACGTCCCCCAGAACCTCAGAGCCGGACCATATTTGGAACCAGTCAAGATGAGGCCACACTGGAGCAGGGAGGGCCCTAACCCAACATGGCCGGTGTCCTTATGGGGCGTCACAGACACAGCGACGCGAGTGACGTGGCCACAAGCCAGGAAACCAAGGGCTGCCGGCATCTGTGGCACCAGGAGGAAGCGTCTGGAATCAGAAACACAAGTAATCACCAGCAGCCGGACAGGCAAAGAAGGACCCTGCCCTGCAGCCTGAGGGAGGCGGCTCTCGACACCCCAAGTGCAGACCACCGGCCTCCGGGACACAGACAATGCACTGCTGCCTGACGCCCCCACTGTGTGCGTTTGTCACGGCAGCTCCAGGAGCCAGCGAGGCTGGCCAGGGTGTGCGGGGCCTGCCCCGGAGCAGTGGGAACGGTCCCTGCTTGCTTGAGGACCAGGACGGCAGTTGGTGACGGACACACAGCTCCTGGGAACAGGGATTGCTGACTCAGTGAGGGGCCTGAGAAGAAGGGGAGGGCCGGGGGCTTTCTTGGGGAAAGGCGGATCCAATAGCTGCTGGGTGTGGGCCTTACAGAAGCCTGGTAGGTGCTGAGAGGTGGTTTCCTCAGCCCCCCTTGGAGTGGCCACACTAAGTGCAGCCTGAGGACAGCCAGGGACAAAGGAGATCCCGGGCGCCTGGAAGGAGAACCTGGGCCTGCCCGGGGCTGAGGGAGACCCCCCAGGGCCTGTGGCCATCCCAGCCAGGAGCCCTTCACTCTGGGCCAGGCATTTGCTATTCCTTTGGCCAACACCCCACACCCCCTGCAACCAGACACTGCCCTTCCTGCGGGACTGGCAGGGTGGGGGGCTCCTCCCACTGCCTCTCCTGTCTCCCATTGTGCCCCACAGTCCCCCATATGCCAACACTGGGCCTGGGGCTGAGGCACCCGGGACGTGCCCAGCCCAGGTCTGCGGGCCTTGAGCCTGGCATCCACGGTCCCAGCCCAGAGCTTCTCAGAGTCCTGCAGGCCAGCGCCAGGCACCTCCAGGCCCCAGGAAGCTTTGATCTGCTGTGTTAACCCTTTAACTCGGAAAAATGCACCGAGGGCCCCAGGGTCTAAAAGGCATGAAAGCCGAGTCAACTGTAGAACTTGTTTAAATCGATTACCGAGGGATTCATGTTCCTGCTCCTGAAGCTCCTACAGTCATCCTCTCTGATCTGCTGATTCAGGGGCTCTACCCCAGGTGTCTGTCCAGAGAATGCACACACCCCATCCTCCGCCTGGAGCCTCCCTCTCAATGGTGGCCAGGAGCGCTCAGCTGACAGCCACGGATAACCCCACACTTGGACGCCCTTCTGTCACAAGATGACCCTGCCCCAGCTGCGGCCTTAGCTGAGGGTTGGGCTCTGCACCTGCAAAGAATGCTGGGGTGGCACCCCCGCAAATACTATCAAGGGCTACTTTCCTGGGACAATCTGCATCCATCTCAGCCGATGGGACACCTGCTGCCACTCCTGCCCGGCCAAGTACCTGTCGCTGTCCTTCCACGGCACCCTCCGCCCTTCCGCGGCACCCTCCTCCCTTCCGCGGCATCCTCCTCCCTTCCGCGGCACCCTCCTCCACACGACTCTCAGGCACCGCCGGGGGCTGCTTACCCAGGGAGGAGTTAGAGGCCCCTGAGCCCGCAAGGATCCCTAGAAGAGGGGCTGCGAGCCACAACCAGACAAGAGTCATTTCAAAACCAGGAAGCAAAAAACATTTTTACGTTTTTATTTTTTAGAGAGAGGATCACCCTGTCACCCAGGTGGGAGTGCTGTGGCGCAATCTTGGCTCACTATAGCCACGGCCTCCTAGGCTCAAGCAATCCTCCCACCTCAGCCTCCCCAGTAGCTGACTACAGGCACGCACCACCACACCCGGCTAATTTTTCTATTTTTTTGTCAAGATGGGGTCTCACTATGTTGGCTGGTCTTGAACTCCTGGCCTCAAGTGATACGACTGCCTTGGCCTCCCCAAGTGCTGGGACTACAGGTGTGCGCCACTGCGCCCGGCCAGGTTTTTCACAAGAAACCCAGACGGTGGGATTGGGATGCTGGAGGAAGTGGAAGCCGCCCCTGCCGCCTCCCCACCGCGCTGTGCTCTGTGCATCCCGGACGCTGTTCCCAACACGCGCCCCACATCCGCCCCACACGCGCCCCACACCCGCCCCACACCCGCCCCACACGCGCCCCTCACGCGCTCCACACCCGCCCCACACGCGCCCCACACCCGCCCCACACGCGCCCCACACACGTTCCACACACGTTCCACACGTGCCCCACACCCGCCCCACACGCGCCCCACACCCGCCCCACACGCGCCCCACACCCGCCCCACACCCGCTCCACACGCGCCCCACACACGTTCCACACGCGCCCCACACCCGCCCCACACGCGCCCCACACCCGCCCCACACGCGCCCCACACCCGCCCCACACGCGCCCCACACCCGCCCCACACGCGCCCCACACCCGCCCCACACGCGCCCCACACCCGCCCCACACCCGCCCCACACCCGCCCCACACACGTTCCACACGCGCCCCACACCCGCTCCACACGCGCCCCACACGCGCCCCACACGCGCCCCACACGCGCTCCACCACAGGAATGGTTTTGTCGCGACCACTGGTTTGTGACCAGCTCCTCTGAAGCGAGAAGCCCGTTCTCTAAGGAGCTGGGGCTGGGCAGCCAAGCTGGCCCCGGCCGAGGGAGCGTGGGATCTGCTGCCTATGGCTCCTGTACGCCCGTCTGTCCCATCGGCCGGGGCCTTGGAGGGTGTCCGGGCTGTCTCTGTGGATGCCGTGTCTGCTCGTGTCAGGGAAGGGCCAGGACACTGAACAGCAGGGACACAGGCTCCAACTTGCCTCGGCCACCCACTCGCCAGGCATCCTTGGCGGGGCTGCTGGGGCTATGAACCCTGAGCAGGCAGCAAGGCCAGAGGAGGTCGGATCATGGGGGCTCACAACAAGAGGGGCTGTGCATAGGGGCCACCCACATGCCCTGGAGCCAGGAGGCCCCAGAGTCCCTGGGACCACCCCCACCCCAGGCAGCCTGGGAAGGCTCAGGGTGCTGGGCCCCCGCCTGGGAGCTGAGAGTGGTCCTGCTCTGCACTTCCCAGACACTCTGAGTGGGGTACACCACCACATCCAGCCTGCCCAGCCCCGCTGCAGGACATGGGCCAGCGAGGCCCTGCAGGGCCCTGGGACGGGGGGAGCTCGGGCAGGGGGAGCCAAGCTGGGCCTCAGGGGCCTGGGGACGCACCACCCCCTTGCTTTCCACAACCTGAAAACAAGGACTGATCAGTCACTGATTCACAGTCCAAAAACCAACCCCCAAATCCCAGGGCTTCCAGCAACAAAGGAGGACCTCTCTCACTTCCGGGTCAGCAAGAGCTTCAGGGCTGGGCCCACTCCGCGTCTCCTCCCTGCAGAAGGACCCTCTGCTCTCCGCCCCCAGAGCAAGGCAGTGGGCTGCCTGGGTGTGGAGCAGCTGGGTAGGGTGAGGGCAACGGGTGGGGTAGGGGGGGTGCAGCCCACAGGCGAGGAGCAGGCCGGGGGCCTTGCCAGGGCCATCTGTGTCCCTGGTCACTGAGGATGGCAGGGGAGACTGGAAGGGAAACAGACCCCCAGGTGGTGAAGGCCCTGAGCCAGCCCCCACGGCAGCCCCTGCAGGCCTCAGTGCTCCTGGATCCTACCAGGGCCGCAGCAGGAACTGAGGCTGAAGCAAATCAGGGCGGCTGGTGGCACAGCTGGGGCCACACCCAGGCACAATTCCTTCCCAACACAGCCAGCAGACTATCTTGTGGGCACCAGCGCCTGCTCAGGGACGGACTTGGGGCCTCCACAACTGCAGTCCCCACAAACCCTGTGCACGGTCCACCCTGACTGCGTGGGGGCTGGGGCCCCCAGTGGAGGGATGTGGCTTGTTGTCCTGAGGAGAGTGGGGGCAGCTGTCCCAGGGTGTGCCCAGCCCTGTGAATCAGGGAAGCAGCTCATGGGAACGGCCCTGGCAGTGCAGGGGAAGTTCACAGAGCCATTTATTGAGCCCCACAACCGACCAGAGGGAAGGGCGTCCACCAGGCTCAGGCCATGGTCCTTGAGGGGCCGGCGCTCTCTACTTGGCCCACATGTGTCCTGAGGAGTTGTGGCATGCCCGCTGCCCTGGTCAGAGCTGGCCGCCATCTTCCAGCTGCATCTGCCGGGCCAGCGTCTGCCCGATGGCCACCAGGGGGCTGGCTCTGTAGGCCGGACTGGCCAGCAGCTCCTGAAACCGGGTCCTTTCTTCCTCGCTGAAAGAATGGAGACCACAGATCAGCAGGCAGGAACCCCCGGACCCCTCAGCCCCTCAACACCCGGAAACGTCAGACACCGAAATGAATGGCAGAGGCCTGGGGCCACCACGGGACTGAGTACTGGGGCCTCGGAAACTTCCGGCAGGAGGGGAGAGGCTGCCCCGGGCCCTCCTCGTGGCCACGTGCATCCCAGAGCCCTGGCAGCGCCCACTGTGGGGTCTGCCGTTGAGGTGTCACCCAGCCAGCAAGTCTGGGGCTGATGGGGCTGCCGCCAAGGCTGAGAAACGCGGCGGCAACTCCCAAGCCCTGCAGACTCACTCCTTACATGAGAGACGGCTCCCTCCACGGGCAACCAAAATAGGTGCACACAGAGGAGAGCCGAGAGCCGAGAGCCGAGAGCCTGAGCCGGCAGAGGCCTGCAGCAGAGTGGGGCGCGGCAGCCCCAGATGGGTGCCACGGCGACGACCCAGCATGGCACCAGCTCACCCCAGCCGCCACCCAGCCCGGCGGCCACTCAGCTCCTGCTCTAAACCCCGCGCAGCCAGCCGCACGCCAGAGAGCTGCCCTGTGGAACACAAAAGGTGGCCTGGGTCCCCTCTCAGGCACAGAAGCCTCGGGGGCAGCTCCCAGACGGGCTCTGCCGCAGCTGCCAAGAGGCCCTGAGCCTGGTGGCGGGGAGGTGGGGCCTGTACCCCTCCGGCCTGTGTGCCCCGTGTGCACGGAGCCTTGTGCAAGGCTGGACCACACTGGCCCTGGTTTCCTGGGCAGTTGACAAGGCTCTTTCACACCCCGCTGGACGACCGCCTGGGCGGGGTGCCCACACACCAGAGCCACAGAGGACAGTGGGGCTGGGGCCGTCTCCACAGCAGGAGGCGGTCAGGGCTCTGCTGGTCACTAACCACCACCTCCTCCTGCCACTGCCACCCTGGCCCCAGCATGGCAGCTGGGGCTGTCCCCGTAAAGTCAGGGTGAAATGCCCCAGTCACAGCCTGGACATTACTAGTGATCTCTGGGGCTACCAGGACCCAACAAGGCCCCACCTGGGGCAACTGAGGAGCCGAGGCCAGGGGAAGGCCCAGGCCAGGTTCTTAGCACTGTGGTCCACTGGGCAGAGTCCTGGGTCAGAGCTGGGGAAGGAAAGGAGCCGTGACAGTGACGCTTGGAAGCGAAGCTGCACGGGGAGGGGCTGCAGGGGGAGCCTGTGCCTGCGCCTGAGTTTAGACACTATGGGACACGGGTTCGGTGCCCCTGGCACTGTGTGGCTCCCATGCTGGGCCAGGCCTCCAGATGCCATCCTGGACAACCGTAAACAGAGACCCATAGACGGGGCCTCCCACCTGAGAGAAAAGCCCTTCCTTGGTTTCGTACTCAGGGGAGCAGCCTTGGGGCACGGACCACCAGCTCCAGGAGCTACAAGGCTCATGCCCAACATGAAGCCCCCAGGGGAGCATGACCCAGGGAGGGGAACACTCTTGCTTCCCACTGGGATCTTGGGATCGAAGGATCCAAGCCACTCAAACACCTGAGCCCTGTCCACAGGCGCCAGAAAGCACCATGGACATGAAAGGGAACAGACCTCTGGCTCCAAAACACGGAGTGAACAAGGAAGGGGCCTCCTGCTCTCCTCTCAGAAGCAGCGAGAAACCAAACTCCATCTTTGATGAAACCAGGAGACCCGTTAACCTGAGCTGCTTCAAAATGCCGCGACCGCAAGGACATGGGGGCACCGAGGGGTGCGGGCGACAGACAGTCTGCAAGAGGAAAACCCGTCGCCCTGTCCAGGCAGGGAGGGGCTCCCCGGACCAGGCTGTGCACTGGGGAGAGGCGGAGAGGGAGGCCAGGCAGGACGATGGCCACACGGAGAGGGCTCTGCTGTTCGCAAACTGTCTCCAGACAAGACTGGCCTGGGAAGAACTCAGTTCATAAACAGAGAAGCAGAAACCAAAGAGGACAAACACAAAGATCTACGGGAAGACCCTGCTCCTCAGGAGGCCGAGGCAGGAGGATCGCTGCAGCCCAGGAGGCGGAGGCTGCAGTGAGCCTTGATCACACCTCTGCACTCCAGCCTGGGCCACAGAGCAAGGAACTGTCTCTAAAAAATAAAAATAAAAACTTTTTAAAAAACTAAAAAAGACAGTTTACTATACTATCTATACTTCACCTAGACCCTACAAAGTGTCTAGAGTAAAAATGGATTAGAGAACATGAGATGGAAGACAGATAGATTAGAGAGATCCAGTAAGTGCATAATTGGTGCCCCTGAAGAAGGGCCGAGACAATAAAGAAATCTTTGGAGCTACCATTCGACACCAGCTTCCCAACATAACTGTACTCACAAAACAGACAGCAGCTTCTAAGCATAATCGAACTCACAAAACAGACTTCAGACTCTCAACTGGAAAGGCACAATGGGCCTCGGTAGAACTGACACAAAACGCTCCCACTGATAAACACCTGAGTAAAGCCATTTCAAACCACAGGAAAAATCATCCCAGCAGCTAACTAAAACCATCTTACAAGGGCGTAAAATGTGGCTCTCTCAGTGGAAACTGGAGCTGAGTCTGCAAAGAGGCAAGAGAGCGTGCGTGGTCTGGAGATTTTTGTACCCAAGAGGACAACTGAGTACAAATTTCTGCAAATCAGTGTCCTAGCCCTGCTAACTGGGGGCCGCAGTGCCCAGTCACAGAACCAAACGTATCATCCAGATTTCAACCAGCCAGCGGAGGGGAGGGGCGGAGATGGGGCTGCGTCCACCCATCATTTTAGATCCATGACTCCCCTTGGAAGCCTTCCTGGGAGGCGGGACTTGACCCAGGGCCACAGGACCTGACTGCACTGAAAAGCCCCCCTGGAGCAGACAGGCAGGAGCCAGCGGAGCAGCGTGGAGGGGACTAGAGGCACGGGCGGGGCTCTCAGCCGCTGAACCCCTGGGAGGGCAGGCTGGAGGCACTCAGGACCCCTGGAGAGGGCGGGGTGGGGGCACACAGGAGCTGAACCCCTGGAGAGGGTGGGCGGGGCGAGGGCACATAGGAGCTGAACCCCTGGAGAGGGTGGGCGGGGTGAGGGCACTCAGGAGCTGAATCCCTGGAGAGGGTGGGCGGGGCGAGGGCACATAGGAGCTGAACCCCTGGAGAGGGTGGGCGGGGTGAGGGCACTCAGGAGCTGAATCCCTGGAGAGGGTGGGCGGGGTGAGGGCACTCAGGAGCTGAACCCCTGGAGAGGGTGGGCGGGGTGAGGGCACATAGGAGCTGAACCCCTGGAGAGGGTGGGCGGGGTGAGGGCACTCAGGAGCTGAACCCCTGGAGAGGGTGGGCGGGGTGAGGGCACATAGGAGCTGAACCCCTGGAGAGGGTGGGCAGGGTGAGGGCACTCAGGAGCTGAACCCCTGAGGAGGTGGGCAGGTGCACTCACAGAAGCTGCTGTCTCTGGGCTGCGCTCATCCGGCTGAGCTCTGAGGGCCGGGGCTTGTTGCTCTCCCTGCTGTGGACACAGAGAAGCCACGTGAGTCAGCATCCAGCATCCCCTAAACACCTTCCCGTGGGCAGAGGCTGGCTCCTCCCTTCTTAGAGCAGACGTCGTGGTGGCCAGAGGTGACCAAACCACTGCAGAACCACAAGTTCCAAGCTGCACTGTGGCCATGGAGGCGAGACCTGGACAAGCAGTGCAACTGCCTGACCGTCCTGTGACCGCCCCGGACAAGCAGTGCAACTGCCTGACCGTCCTGTGACCGCGGGCCCCAAGCTGCTCCGTGTGGAATCTGGTGACTCCTGCAGCTCCTCCTGGCTCCATGGGACATGGAGGGAGTGGTCAGCCAGGAACACGTCTCACGATATACAGCGTCTCCACCCCACCTGCCTGGCCAGGGCAGGCTGCGCAGACACCTCACACTTCGGGCCAAAGGACCCTGGCAGGCACAGCCAGTCCCACTCCCGCAGTACACACCACTTCCCAGGAAGGCTGAGTCACCCACCCAAGCCTACATGTCCCCAGGTCCTCTCTTTAGAAGAAGGCGCACGCTGTGCTACAGTGGGAAGCTGCACCTGCCCTCCTGATGACTGAACTTGGGGACAGGGGCGTGGACCCACCGTAGATCCTGCCCTGCCTGCACCTGCGGGGGGTGCCAACGAGCACTGCAGTCCCCCATGGACAGGTGGAGGAACTGAGGAGGTTTCCTGAGTGCTGCTGGCTATTTCCTTTAGTCCTGGGATCTCCAAACCACCAAGCTGGGCCTTGACTAAGGGCACGGGCGGGCCAGGACACTCTCATCTCTGACGTCCACCCCAGGCAGGCTCCGGCTGCCCGCGGAGCTTCTCACCCTCAGTTAACCGTGGGAATCTTCGGGAGCTCGCCTGCACTCCTTGTGGTCAGCCGGCCAAGGCAGCCGCCCACCTGGCCGAATGTTCACATGGGACAGCGACCTGGGCCTTAAAAGGAACAGAGAACCCGCAAGGCCACACCAGGCGCCTTCTCAGATCTGCCGTCCACACAGTGAGATGGGACCCAGACGACGGCGGGAAGGCAGAGACGCAGAGTCCTCAGACCAGCCCTACACTTAGCCTCGGGCCAGGAGACTTCATCTTTTATTCATGGATCTCTTAAAATATGAATGACAGACATTTTGTGTCTGCCCAAAATAGCCCTCAGCACCCGCTTTCTTTTAACCCTAGCTCTGCGCTGATCTGGGGAAGGAATCAGTCCCCATCCCTTCCTGCTCACACTGGCAGATGACAGCCCCTCGCATCTCCCGTCCCCTCTGCCCGCTCAAAGCCACAGCTCCATTCATTGCAGGGGCTCTGCCGGGGCTGACGACATCTCCCCACGGCCTCTCCTGGGCCAGCCTTGCCCCGATGCAGAAGCTCTGCCCCCCTGGCCAGCCGACCCCCTCCCTGTGTCCACCCCTGAGCAGCAGCTCCCTCACTGACTGCCCAGAGCTGTCCCCGGTCCCCATCCTTGCAGAAGCCATCAGCGTGGGGCCCCTCCTCTAGGTGCACCCTGGTGCCAGGGCTCTGGGCAGCCACGTGCTGGGTCAGGAGACCTGAGCCCGGGTCCAGGACATCCTTCCTGGTTGGGGAAACCTCGGGCCCTGGAGCTGCACCCTCACTTTAAGAGATGAACTAGCAGTGGGGGTGGGACCAATGCCTCCCAAGGTCCCAAAGCAGAGGAGCTGCACCCAGGGTGGCTGCAGTGCCCATGAGGCCAGGCGCGGCACCTCCCCTCCCCACTGCGGGGACCGTCCCCCACCCACGCGTCCCACACCCCATCCTCCCAGGCGGGACGCACAGCCTACCCAGTGGGGTTTCCGGAGTTCAGGGCCCCGGGGACAGAGTGCTGGGCGGTTACCGTCATGGGCCAAGGGCAAGCACCGGCAGGGACGCGACTCCACGAGGCCTAACAGCAGGAAGCCGAGGAGGAATTGGAGCCTAACTCCGCCCAGTGTGGACCCTCACCAGCCCCCACGGCACTCCCTCCAGGCAGGAGCAGCGGCGTCACCACCACTCCCCTCCCGACAATCACCCACAAAGCGCACACAGGAGGCGGAGGTCCACAGCATGGGGGGTCCCCTCCCGACAACTGCCCACAAAGCGCACACAGGAGGTGGAGGTCCAGAGCATGGGGGTCACCGGAGTCAAGTGTCGCTCGATGCCTGCTTCCCAGCCAGGAGTGACGTGGACCCCAAACACGGGCCCTGCCCTGGCCTCTGAGATTCCAGCTCTGCATCCTGCACCCCAGGGGCATGAGGCCCTCAGGGCAGGGCGCCAGGACAGGGGATTGAGGGAGCTGGGTTGGGAGGGGACTGAGGGGACTGAGGGTTGGGAGGGGCCGTGGGGCAAGGACCCAATGCTTGGGTTCCACAAGGACAGCTCTGCCAGCCCAAGCCATATGTTCTCCCCACTAGGTGGGAAGGGGAGAAGTGAGAGACAGAGCTCCAGGCTGGGAGGGAGAGGCTGTCCACCCTCCAGCCTCCCAGGCCACTGGTGCTCGCCTGCTGACCCCTCAAGCCCAAAGCACATCAGAGTCCAAGAGTGGTGGTCAGTGGGGCAGACCTGCCTGCCGGGACCAAGATGCAGTTCCCAGAGACACGGCCCGCCGCCCAGGCACGCCAAACCCCAGATCCTGGGACAGGCGCACCGAGCCCCAGATCTCAGGGTCTCACACCTCCTGCAATACAGGGGCCAGGGCTCCCTAGAGAAACAGCAGGACTGGCAGGAGATGTCCAAGATGCGCCTGGGTTACCTGTTGGTGCTCGGCAGTGGGAAAGAGCTAAAAATACGACCCCCACGTCAATGGGGCCAAAGGGAGCTGGGGGCAACTGCAAGAACTCCCAGCGGCCAATGCTGGAACAGTTTCGGCACCAAAATCAAGTAACGCTGTGTGTAAACTAAACATCCATCTGTCCAGACCAACACCGGCGCATGAGCGACACATACACGGGGAGAAGAGACAAAGCTCCTTTCCCAGCAGGATTCCAAACAGTCTCTGTCACTGCTGTGTCTTCCAGGAGGTAGAGCACAACCCCCACCCCGAGGCCAGGGCTGCAGAGCGACTTCCTCCCAAAGCGGACAGCATGGAGGGGGGGTCTCAACCCAGCAGGGGCCAGCTCAGCCTCACGGTGAGTCAGGTGACAGGGTGTGCCCAATACAGTGGAGTGACAGTGGCACTTCGCCTCTGGGGGCTTCCTCCCCAAACCCAGTCCCTTCCTGTACCCATTAGAAAAACATCAGACAGATCTTCAGCTGACAGGCAGCTTCCTCAGAACAGTCAAGGTCATTAAAACCAAGAGGAGTCTGAGAAACTCACAGCCAAGACGGGCCGAGGGAGCCATGACATCTGAATGTCACGTGGGATCCTGTACGGATCCTGAGGCAGAAAGAGTCCGTTAGGGAAAAATGAAGGAAACCTAAGGTATGGGCTTTAGTTAACTATTAATTACTTAACGCTCACTATTTCTCTGTTGATACTGGTTCCTTCCATGTGACGAACGTACCACACTCATGTCAGAGCAACAGCATGCGGGGACGGGGGAGCTGCATGGAGCTCTTGGCACCATCTTTGCCATTTTTCTACGAATCTAAAGCCTGTCTAAAATAGGGCTGATTCCAAGAGCTCCCCCAGGGTCAGGAGGCACTGCTGCCTGAGCCACATCTGAGGAGGGACGGGGACTCCCAGCGACAGGAGGCTCTCAGGGCTGAGAGCAGATGTGCCTTCCCGGCCCAGAGCCCCGCAGGGAGGCAGGGGCACATCCTCCTCGGCCTGGGGGCTGGGTGTTGATACAGCCCTCTCCCTTCTGGGAGCGCCAAGCACATTTTTCAGATGAGAAAACTGAAAACAGGGAAAGGATACTTGACCAGGGTCACATTTTTGTCCAAGAACCAGGAATGTTCGGTCATCACATCGCCACTCCGGGCGGCCGCTCCTATTCTGGACCCAGTGCTCTGGTGCCTCCGCCGCGGGATGCCAGCCTGGAGCTGCCTGGGCCTGCAGCGCGTGACCTGCCACCCTCGAGCCTGGGCAGCTGGGCCATGAAAGGATGGACCCCAGGTTTGACACTGCACACAGCCCCTGCTTTCTGCCCAGATGGAAAGTTAGTAGGAGAAAGAAAATTATTTTTTAAACAGCAAAATTAGGCCAGGCGCGGTGGCTCACGCCTGTAATCCCAGCACTTTGGGAGGCCGAGGCGGCTGGATCACGAGGTCAGGAGATCTAGACCATCCTGGCTAACACGGTGAAACCCCGTCTCCGCTAAAAATACAAAAAATTAGCCAGGTATGGTGGCGGGCGCCTGTAGTCCCACCTACTTGGGAGGCTGAGGCAGGAGAATGGTGTGAACCCAGGAGGCGGAGCTTGCAGTGAGCCAAGATCGTGCCACTGCACTCCAGCCTGGGGGACAGAGCAAGGCTCCGTCTCCAAAAAAAAAAAAAAAAAGCACAGAGATGACACAAATGAATGAGGAAGGCCCAGAAGCTGAGACAGAACAGAGTGGTCCGGCCTCTTTCCAGCCCTGAAAGCTGGGCTGTGGCTACACAGCCCCCGCCTGAGCCCAGAGCCTCAGCACCCACACCTGGGTGGTGCCTTCCAGCCACAGGGGAAGGGCAGAGGCTGCTCTCCTTTCACGTGCATGTGACCCAGGCACAAAGAGCCTGAAAGCCAAGCTCCTGGGAGACGGGCGCCACAGGCAGCAGCTTATCAGCAGGCTGCATCCCCTGCGAGGTGACAGGGAGGGTCATGCAGCCGCTGCCCTCCTGGTTGAGCCGTCCTGGGGTGCACACACCACAGCAGGCTGGCACATGGAACACTGTCCACATTGTCAGGGCACATGGAACCTGCCACTGGCAAATGGCTCAATGGGTGGTGGGGTTGCGTCACCGGGTGGTGGTATCTTCATTGGGTGGCGGGGTTGCGTCACTGGGGGTTGTGTCACTGGGGGTTGCGTCACCGGGTGGCAGGGTTGTGTCACTGGGGGTTGCGTCACTGGGTGGCGGGGTTGTGTCACTGGGTGATGGGGTTCTGGAGGGAGCACCTCAGTGCGTCAGGAGGAGGGCTCATGCTCGGGACCAGGCCTTGCCCAGGGCAGGGGGGTGGAGGGGCCCCACTGGGGTCCAGGCCCAGGCCCAGGCCCGCTGGCTTGGCCACTCATGCACTAAGGGCCCAGAACCCACCACCCCAGCTCTCAGCAGGGGGCGGGGGAGGGGCGCTGTGATGCCAGCAGCCAAGGGTGGGGCAGGGGCCTGCCTCTTTCCTGAAGAACAAACCACATCCAGACCCGTGGTGAGGCTGGGAGGCATGTGCTTCCCACACAGGTAGGTACAGCTCGGGAGAGCAACCGCACTCACATCAGGCCCCGTCCCTCCTGGGGAGGACGCACGAGGCAGCTCCCGCCCCATGAGGACAAGCTCTGGGATGTGTGTCCCAGGGCCCTGCATGAGTGGGTCCCACACGCTCACCACACCCGACAGCAGGCCTGAGCCGTCCTCACGGGCCACCCTCTGTGCGACAGAGTGAGGGGCAGGACAGGGTGTGCAGTGTTAGGTGGGCATCAGGGAAAGGTCCACTCAGGAGGGGAGACTGCAGCCCCTGTCAGAGGCACGAGAAGAGCATGGTGGATGCTCAGGGGCCTCAGCTGAGCACAGCAGGGTCTCTGTGGGGTGGAGGCTGTGGCAGAACAGTGAGTTGGGGGGACCCCCAGTGGGACCCGGCAGGAGCTGTGGTCAATGTCGGGGGAGGGGCACATGAGGGAGCTCGGCATCAGCAGAGCCACCAGGCTCCTCACAAGGGTGGGCCTGGGTGCCCCCGAAACGTCCCCCACAGCCCCCACGGGCCTCACGAGCTCACGCCCTGAGAACAGGGTACCTGTGCGGAGCACCGGCTGGAGCCCCAGCTCTCGGCCTCTGCAGGCTCAGGAAGCACCGTGGCCCGTGGCTCCCACTCATATCCCTCCACCTCTGGACCCGGGTCAGCCCCACAGCTCGGAAAGGGCCACCCCTCCCGGACACTCACCTGCGGGCTTGGCGCCGGCTGCCAGCCTCGAGCCCCAGCAGCTCGGGCAGGGCATCCCTGAGAGGGTGCAGGTCCCCCACCACCACCGTGGCCCTCCGCCTCCGCTCCTCCCTGTGCTTCTGCTCAGCCAGTTTTATGGCTTCGATTTCTAAGGAAGGAGAAACGACGTTAGAGGCAAACAAGAGGCAGAGGAGGAGCCCAGGCCCAGAGCCTCTGGCCCACGAGAGACCTGGCAGGGTGCCCGGCCCTGCTGCCTCTCTCCTTCCCGCTGTCACCCCCATTCCGCCCCTGGGAACCTGCAGGGCGGGCAGGCTTGAGTTATTTTCTTCCCCTTAATGACAGAGCTGCGCTTTTTAATCGCAGGGCTGACAATGAGGTGGAACTGCAGCCACTGAGGATTTCTCCTGCAAAGGGACGCTGGCAACTGTGGCCGGAGCACGCGTAGGGGAGTGCACACAGCCACCGAGCAGAGGGGACAGAGGGGAATGAGGAAAAGGGGCCCTCAACTTAAGATGGCAAGTCACAGCCTGGGAGGCTCAGCTTTGTTCCCAGGAGGGAGAGGGCTCCCCAGAGGGAAGGGGAGAAGCCCCAGGACAGACCTGAGGGCTTGGGGCCATGGGGGGTGGCAGGTAGGGCTGAGGCCTCCACGCTAGAGAAGGGATTTGGGCAGGGTCTGGACAGAAGGGGTATGGCCTTGGGATTTGATTTAATTTAAAAATGTATTTATCTCAAAACTGCTAAGAGAACACATGCTCGGACATGCTGCTCACTGCACGTGGCTCCTGGAGGCTGTGGAGCGCGGACGGCCTGCTCTCTTCAGGGCAACCCACCGGGACAGGCCTGCAGCTCAAACACTGCCAGCTCGTGACACAGGCCCGGGCATGGCAGACCTGTGCCCCCTGGGGGGAATGCCCAGGTTTCCAGAGGTGACAACAGCCAGCTCCTCTCCAATCCCGCTGTCTGGGACAGCGGCGCCCCTCTCAGCCCCCAGGGCAGGTGGCTCGCAGAACAAGGTGTGAAGGGCCCACCCTGACCAACCCGAAATCAGGGGATGCCACCCTGCCCTGGGTCCCTGTAGCAGGGTGTGTTTACCTGGCTCCAAATCACTGACAAGAACCTGGGACAAAGACCACCCTTCCTCTGGGTCCTCAGCCCCCAGTGCAGGTTGAGAGCTTGGAAGGTGTACACCAGCTCTCCACAGCCTTGGGAATCACGGGGGTTTATAAGGTAAGAATCCAGCGCTTACTCCACCCTGCCTGGACTGTGGTAGACACGTTACTCGGCACCTCATTAAAAGAGAGCCAGGGCACCCTGGAAGCTGGGGTAGGGAGGGGCGGGCCAGGCCAGATGGCTCCTTCACAGGCTGCAGACCCAGGCCAGGAAAAGCAAAGCAGAGGCATGTGGTTCCCGTGAGGACAGACACAAAGGCCCGCACCTCAGCAAGCCAAAGCCAGAAGCCTTTCAAAAGAAGGATACCTTGTGCCCAAGCAGGGTGAGCCCCAGGCATGCAAGGATGGTTCTCCCGGGAAATGCCTCAGGGTGACCCTCCACAGTGGCCACTCAAGAGGCAAGAAAGCCTATGGTCACCACCACCAGTGTGCAGAGGATTCTGCACAATTCACTGCCCACGCATGAGAAAAATTACAATGAAACCACAAACGGAAGGAAGCTCCTTGACAGATGAGCTGCTAGAAACCCACAGTGAGTATCACATTTCAGGGCAAAACATTAGACACTCAATGATAAATCCGAGCAAGGAAAAGATGACCACAATATCGACAATCCCACCCGGCCCACTCAATTCTGAGGGGGAGGGAGGGAGCGAGGCAGTGGCGGGGCGGGACCCACGGCCTGGGAACACTCAGCACTGCTCTCATCTGCAGCACCTAGGGGAGGTCCCACACAAACACCAGCTTCCAAGCAGCCAGGAGAACCAACGGGAGAGTGCAGTTCTTCTCTGTCAGTTACTCCGGAAAAATCGGATGCTGCCTCAGCTAAAATTTCAACGGGATTTTTAGTCAAACCTGTGCAGCTAATTCTAAACTTTATGTTTTAAAAACAACTAAATGCATAAGAATAGTAAAAACATTTTTTACAAAGAACAAGCAACAAGAAAGTAGGGCTATCGGATATTAAAGCAAATTATAAAATAACAGAAATTAACAGCGTGGCAAAAGTGCTGATGAACACTCAGTGGACGCAGGGCAGACCAGGCAAAGTGTGAGCATGACACGTGAGGTTAGATAAACTGGGGTCCTCCTGGGGAAAGAGTCAGAGTCCCTCTCACACTGTTCCTAAAAATCAGTATGTATGAATTAAATACTAAAAACAAAGAGGAATCAAAGGCCAAAAAATACAGCAGGAGCCACTCGACTGGATTAGAAATCAAGGAAATGTTGCACCTCATAGACTGGCAAATTTTTAAATGTTTCATAATATCGAGTGTTCGAGGACGGAGGGAGCTGATGGGTGGGTGTGAACTGGCCCAGCCGCCTTGGAGGACAACTGAGGGTTGGGAAAGTCAAGTGGGACATGTGTGTGGTTCCAACTACCCACCCTCCCGCCCACAGGGCATGGGGAGCCACTGTCCACGGCACGGCTGGGGCACAGGCTGTGTGGTGGAGCATAGAGGCGCTACCTGGGCACTGGGGAGGTATGTGGACAAAACAAAGCAAAGCAAGGGATGGAGAGTGACCGGGGGAGGCCTCCAGGAGTGGGAGGGCCCTGCAACGGGAGGAACAGCAAGGACAAACTTTGCAAGCTTGTCCTCATAAAGGCAAGGTGGGGTGGCGCGTGCAGATCCACAGGGGAAATTTCAACACATATTGGGGAAAAAAAGCAAATTGAGGGAAAAAATCCACACATACAGAAAACATGCATTTCTAAAGATCCTAAGGAATCTACAAAATGACTACCAGACCTAATGCATGATATTAGTAAATTCATAGGATACAAGATTAGTATTTTAAAAAACCAATTGTATTTTAACATACTAGCAGAGAGCTGAGAAAAAACTGCATTTATGACAGCATAAAAAACTATAAAATACTTAGCAATAAGCTTATTATAAGATGTAAGATCTCTACACTAAAACTGAATAACATTGATGATGAAATTTAAATGGTGAGATATACTATGTTCATGAATTTGAAGATCTGCTTTGCTAAGATGGTAATTCTGAACTGATCTATAGATTCAATGAAATCCCAATCATAACCCCACTAGGTTTTTGTTGTTGTTTTTAAAGAAATAGACAAGCTAATGATAATTTATATGGAAATGCCAAGGACTTAGAATATCCAAAACAACCTCAAGACAGACGAACCAACAAAAAGGACTTATGTTATCTGACTTCCAGATTAATCCTAAAGCTATGGTAATCAAGACAGTCTGGTTTTTGCTAAGGTACAACAAATAGATCAATGGAACAGAAGACAGCCTAGAAACAGATCCACACTTATGAGACTTTCTGATTTTTCACAAAGGCAACAAAACAATCCAATAAGGAAAGAAAAGTACTTATAACAAATGGTGCTGGAACAGCTGAATATCCATATTAGGGGGAAAAAAGGAACTTAACCACTAACACCACATAGACAAACAATTCAAGATAGAAAAAAAAAACCAATATGAAAGCTCAAACTATAAAGTTTTTAGAAGAAAACAGGAATAATATCTTCATGACTTGGGATTAGGCAAAGTTTTCTTAAATAGGACACACACACATACATATACACACACACAATAACTAATATAAATTAAACTTCTCAAAATTAAACTCTCGTTTATTTAAAAAAAAAAAAAAAGTTCTCACGCCTGTAATCCGAGCACTTTGGGAGGCCAAGGCGGGCGGATCACGAGGTCAAGAGATCGAGACCATCCTGCTAACACGGTGAAACCCCATCTCTACTAAAAATACAAAAAAATTAGCCGGGCACGGTGGCGGGTGCCTGTAGTCCCGGCTACTCAGAAGGCTGAGGCAGAAGAATCGCTTGAACCCAGGAGGTGTTGCTTGCAGTGAGCCAAGATCGCACCACTGCACTCCAGCCTGGCGACAGAGCAAGACTCTATCTCAAAAAAAAAAAAAAAGAAAGAAAATGAACAGGCAAGTCACAGTCTGGGAAAAACATCTGTAAAACACATATCCAACCAAAGACTGGACTCTAGGACAAAGAACTCTTAGAGCTCAATAATAAAAAGACAAAAAGCCTCATGAAAAATGAATTTCACTGACGCTGAAACACAAATGGACAGTAAGCACATGTAAATGCTCTTTTGGTGGCAACGGAAATGAGTACCACCGTGAGATACCATTTCATGATTACCAGACGGCCGAGGCTGAGGAGACGGCAGGCCATGTGTTGGCAAAGCTGAGGGCCAGGAGAACTCTCACAGGCTCTGGTGGGAGTGTGAGTGTACAACCACTCTAGAAAAGCGTCTGGCAGCTGCTTATAAAACTAAACATACACCTACCCTATGACCCAGCATTCCATTCCTCAGCACTTACCCAAGAGAAACGAAAACATGTCCACAAAAAGACTTGTAAAGAATGTTCAGAGCAGCCTTATTCACAGTAGCTAAAAATGGAAAAAAGCCCAGGTGCCCATCAGCAGGAAAGTGAGTAACAAATGGTGTATTCATACAATGAAATACTTCTCAGCAATCAAAAGGCATGGACTGCTGCTACATGCAGCCTGGATGGGTTTCAAAACCATTACGCTGAGCAAAAGCAGCCAGATGCAGAAAGAGTGCATCCTACATGATTCCATTTATACAGAGTCTAAGGCAAGAAAAGCTCAACTGTGGACGACAAAGGGTGACACAGCAGTTGTTACCTCTGGGGCCAGTGGGAGAGGTAATTGACTGGGGGGGTGCGTGACTGTCGGGGAATGGTGGTGATGGTCCATAACCTGAACAGGATTTCAGCTGCACAGGTGTCTACAACATTTGTCAGCAATCATTGAATGGCACACTTTAGATTTGCATTTCATTTTATGTAAATACAATCTTCAAAAGAAAAAGAAAAAAAAAGAACCATGAACTCTAGCAGAATTATTTGGGGTGGAGTGTACTGATGTCTGCCATTTACTTTGAAACGCATTTTTAAAAACCCATGTTGGTAGATGGACAGAAACTGCTAGATGAACGGTTATGTAATAAAGATTGTAAAATCTGTGTGGTGGGTACAGGGTATTCCCTATAAAATTCTTCCCACTTTCCTAAATAAAATTTTTCATAATAAAATACAAAGTAAAAGTAACTTGGGAAATGTAGCTAAAGCTGTATTTAGAGATAACTTACAGCCTTTCACTCCTGAACAAAACATATACAAACAGATAAGCAGAGTAACTGAAACCCAAAGAAAGCTAAAACGGGAGTGATCAAAATAAAAACAAATAATTTTGAAGACAAAAGAGTAGAATTGGTTATTAAATACATTAATTATTAAATGGAAGAGACAAAACTTCTTAATTTAATCAGAAATGAAGGTGGAGATACAAATAAAGAACGATAAAGAAAACAGAATATTTAATAAGAAGGCAACTAACATATGAAGATTGAGATCTGACTAAATTTGATCATTAACATTATTTAGAGACAAGGACCCACTCTGTCACCCAGGCTGGAGTGCACTAGTGCAATTACGGTTCACTGCAGCCTCAAACTCCTGGGTTGAAGCGATCTTCCTACCTCAGCCTCCTAAGTCGCTAGGACTAGAGGCTCAGAGGCATACACCACCTAATCTGACTAATTTTTACATTTTTTGTAGAGACAAGGTCTCGCTATATTGCCCAGGCTAGTCTGAAACTCCTGGGCGTAGGTGATCCTTCCATCTCAACCTTCCAAAGTGCTGGGATTACAGGCATGAGACACCATCCTCAGACAAATTCGATCATTTTATGAGTGGCCAAAATTGACTCAAGTTGTGAAAAAACAAAAAAAAAGGACCAAGTGCCATGGAATAAAATTTACACATCATCAAAGAATTACAGCCTAGAAAATCAGGGTCCAAATGGCCACAGTCCAGTAGCCCGTCCAAATCCACTTTCACAGCTATGCTAGGAACTGTGAAAAAGAAAATGGAGGAATGAATCATTTCCCTAAGAAATATCCAAAAAGGGATAGAAACCATAAAACTAATAATCACAAAAGAAACTGACAAAGTTTTCTAGGTCCTACCTCTGAAAAACATACATTTTCTTTAAAACCTCCAAGGAAAAAATAAAGCAGATAACATAAAAAAGAAAATATTCCAAATTAATTTCACAAAGTCAGCAGAATCACACTAAAAAGATAACCGAAAAATACAAAATAATTTTGACGAGAAACAATCTTAGAAAAACACTGGCAAATATCCAGCATCACGAAAAATAAGGAGATACTCCAAAACAACCTGAGTGGGAAGTGTGGCTTTCAGCCTGCGGAGACGTGCAGCTGGGAGCACGTGGCAAGGCTGACCTCAGAAAAGAGGGAGCCACAGGCCTGAAAGGGTCTGGGGACACCAGGGGCCCTGCCCACACCCACGCCGCTATGCGCAGACACTGTTTTCACCGCGGGCAAGGCCTGGAAGGATTTCACATACCACTGCAGGCACTTCTGAACCATAAAAACTCCACGAGCACAGGTTACTTCCACAATAAAAAATTTCACGGTGGGGAACAAAAATAGGTAATTTTTACAAACAAGGAGCCGAGAGCAGCAGCTTCCCAAGGCCGTCCTCCAAAGGGAGGCAGCCCAGCTCTGCAGGTGCCCACACGGACGGGGTGGCAGTGCCATCCACAACAGGCCAGACCAGCTTGGCCATGCTGCCAAGTCTTCATGGCCAACCTCTCTGTGCCTCCACTGTCCTTCGGCCCCCACAGCAGCCTCTGAAGTGTCTTGGGTGATCCCCTTGGGCACTCCTCGGGGAGTGTGGCTGATGTAGAAGGCCAGATGTGAGGCTGTAGGAATAGGAGGGCCCACGGGATGGGACTTGGGCCGGCAGCTGCCTCAAGACGCAGGCATGGACTTACTCTGCAACCATTGCTCACGCCTCAGCTTCATTTTCTCCTTCTTGGGCAAAACGGTCTTGGCCTCTGCACCTGAGGAAAGAGAACACGGGAGTGAGCAAAACGTGTCCAGGTGGCACTCCCATGACCTGAGAATGGGCTGGGGCGGGTCCTGACTGCAGAGCTGCCACAGTCACTGCAACTGGTCTGGCCTGTGCCAGCCTCTCAGACTCCCGGCTCTGGACAGCACCAGGGGCACCTGCAGCATGCCTCGGCCCGGCCTCAGGAGGCTCTCTCAGCAGCGTCCCCCCGCAGTGATGGCCTGGCCACTCACCCCAGCCTGCCCCGGAAAGCAGGTGTCCCAACAAGGAGGCCTCCTCCCCACTCATGCCCCGAATGACTGTCAGGGCAGTCATTGCAGTGAAGCCATGCAGGAATGCCCGACGGCTCATGAAGGGGGCCACGAACAGGACAGAGGCCCTTAGGGGGACATCCCCAAGATCCTGTGTGGTCACGTCAGGCCCAGCGACGTACGTGCTCCCTGCCCCCTGCCAGGCCCGACAATGTGCTCGGTGACCAGAGGCTTCATCCCTGGACCCCACAAAGCGGCCCTCTCAGGGAGCCTCCAAAAGTGAACTCCACAGGTGCCCCTGTGCTTGGTCCACGCGGAGCCCAGCCACCTGCCCGGTGGGCGGGGAAAGGAGGCTCATTTGCTGGGGGGACAGGGGCAGGGGTGGGATGAGCCTGCAGGGCCGTGCAGGTGGGGACAGGTGGAGAGGGCACTGGGTGCTGCGTCTCTGACTCCAGTTTGCTCTGAAACAGAGTGGACTCAAGGGCACCCCCATTTCCTCGGCCTTAACTGATTTCCCGAGACGGTTCAGCCTCGGCTGCATTCTCCCCAGAACACATCTCCCAGTATCTCTTTTAATTCATGCAGACCTTCCTGGCTTGTCCAACAAATCCACCATGTCTAATGAAAAACAAAGCAGAAGCAAGCCCTGCCTGGAGAAAGGCAGTCGCTGCGCTCTGCATTTCAGACTTCACTTCAGGAGCCGGTGTGAAACCTCCAAGGCCCAGGGCTCCCGCAGGATTTAATCCCCTCCCACAGCTTCCTGGTGTGCCTGGGTTGACCTACTTTCCTCCATAGCATCCCAACCTCTCCCTCCCGACCACAAAGGGGAGGGGCTGATTTTGCAGCTTTTCTGTAGTTTTGAAATTGTTTCAAAAGAAAAATGAATCTAAGACCAGTGGAAACTGACCCGAACAGTGACCTGTGTTGTGTTGGAATGAAGAAAACGAGGCCTGGGCGCAGGCCAGGTCAGGAACACAGCACAGTGATCCTTCCCGGCTCTGGCCCCAGGGAGCTCCCCAGCCCCATTGCCATGGCACCAGGACAACAGGAACCAAACACGCTGCTCCTGCAGGAGGAGAGGGCTTGGAATGCTGCAGCTGGAGCAGAGGCCGCCTGGAACTGCTGGCGGCGGCCCCACGACCCCCAGCTCCCGCCGCTTTCCGGGCCCAAGGCGCCCTTGCTGAAGTGCTCCGGCACAGGTTCACGCCTGCTCCCCCTTCTAGCCTCTGGATGGGCTGACGGGTGTTCACTGAGATCCAGTCGGTGCCGCGGGCTACGGAGGGGGCTCGCCCTGTGGGTCCTGATTCCCTCTCCCCCGCAGGCCCAAGGCCACATGGACAGGGCAGGTGGGCGCACCCCACCCTGTGGTGGGGACAGTGTGAAGTCCGCTCGAGCTGCTCCGGTTTCTAAACTTACCTACGACAAGGCCAGCACACCACAGCTCTCGCCGGTGCTGCGGAAGCACAGGAGCGTCCCGTGGGTGCAGCAGAAATGCCAGCTTGGAGGAGGGCCGGGCTGGGAGTGCAGATGCTGGGCCTCAAGCAAGGGTGTCGGGAGCTGCTACTGTCCTGGGCCTCGCCCCAAACCCAGATCCCAGCAGCACCAGCACTACAGCCCCAGTGGCTATGGGGAGGGGAAGGTCACCAAACACGTCTGATTAGTGACAAAGTGACGGCAGCAGGGGCCACACCTGAGGCAGGTCATCCGCCGAGCCCGAGCTCCTCACACAGGGCCTGAAGTCCGAGTGGGCACCAGGAATACCAAGCCAGAGCTGACAGTAAAAACGACTTCATACAATCGCCGGCCAGCCGAGCTGAGGCTACAGAAGGGTGCACACTCAGAAGGGCAGAGGCGGCTGCGACCTCGGCTTCCCGCTCTAGGCAGACAGGCTTCTTCCTCTGTGCCCTGTCTGCTTCACATCCTAGGCCACCTGCTGCACGGGCGGCTCACACACTGCCACTCCTTCTGGCCCGCTCAGTCCACAGCTCAAAGGTGTCAGGAGACGGGCAAGTCCCCATTAAACTGAACCTCACAGAACCCCAGCCAGTGGCTGAGGCAAGGCTAGACGAGGTGCTCATACCCTCATTCCCCACAAAACCGAGACAGGACCCCCCCAAGACAGAGCCCAGGCCTCCCTGTGGGGGAACATGCTGCAGGTGCCATCCACTCCCCCTCACACTCGGTGGAACCCTCTGGGGCCACCTGTTGCTACTGGCAGTGAACAAGCCCAAAGGGTGAAAGACAAGGCCGCAGGGCATGAGGTGGCTCCTGCGATCTGGGTCCTGGGACCCGGTGGTATCCAGGGTGCTCCTGGCTGCCACAGCGCCTGTATCTGAGCTGGACTGCAAGGCACAGGGCAGATGGATGGTGGAGATGAAGAGGAGGAGGATGAGGAGAAGCCGTGCCCTTGCCTGAGTCTTCAGGAGCCCAGGATGCAGCTGCCACGGAGCGATCTGCATAGAGGCACCGGGCTCACGAGCAGCGTGTGGGGACTGACCGTGTGGGACAGCCCCTCTGGCCCAGTGGGAGGCACTCTGAGGAGGACTCAAGGGCCGTTCAAGGAACAGCCCCTCTAACCCTTGACTCTGGAAGACCCCGCCTCAGCCCTGCCCTTGGGGAGTGACTAGAAACCTGCCCTGAGCTGACTCATCACAGAGCTCTGGGGGTGGCTCTGGTCCCTGGAACGCCGGCCGGCCCGGCAAAAACCTGCAGCATGAGCTGAATGGCCCCGCACAGAGAGAGGGATGGGTGCACGCAGGTACAGGCTGCCTAAAAACCCTGACAAGAAAAGGGAAGGTGAGACGCTGCCGCGCAGGAGCCAGGGCCCGTGCTCTGGAGCTGCAATTCCAGGTACACTGGGCAAGGCAACCGCCTCGCCAGAACCACAGCCTTCCCAGCTGCCACGGTGCTGCCTGGGCTCTTGCGCTCTAACAAAGGGGCCCCGGGAACAGACGCGGTAAACCAGCCTCAGTGGAGGAAGCCACACATGGCAGCTACACAGCACGCCTGTGCCGCAGGCAACTCACCTGGTCCCCAGCCCTCACCAGGTCAGCAGACACAGAACCAGGCTCACCAGAGTTGGGCCGTGGGGTGACACGGTTCACGGGGCACGTGTTCTGATGGACCCTAAGGAAAATCAGCATGAGACCGGCTTTTCCGTGCACGCCATCAACAAGCCTTGATTCTCACTCCACAAAGATCTGCATGAGGCTCAGGACAGAACACACTACGCGATGCTGCTGGCACGTGCTGCTTCATCTCGGGCTCGGGTGCCGGGAGATGCTGCGGCCTACAGAGCCACTCAGATGCTGCCAACACCACCCAGGTCACCAGCTGAAGCGGCACATGCCAGCAGCATCTCGTGGTGCCGAGGTTCTTCTCGCCACGCCTTCTGGGTGAATGCAAGCTGAAATGCATCGTGGGACAGGCCGTTTGGGGAAAAATGAAGTGGGAATCATCCGTCTCACTCTATACACAAAAATAAAGTCCTGATGGATTAAATACATTAAAAAGGCACTACTACAAAACCACTGCAGAGGACACAAAGGGGCCACAAAAGACACAGAAAACACCGAATTTGCTACAGAGAAACTTTAAACCTCCGCAGAGAAAAAAATAACATGAACAAATTCAAAAGAACTACCAACGAGGGGGAGACAGCTGCAGTTAACAAGAGATTGCTTCCTTCCTACATAGCTTTTTCAAACCAATCAACAGCCGAAAAGAAAAACAGGAAAAGGCACATATAGGCAGCTCACAGCGATGAAGGCTGAATGTAGCCTTGCTGATGAAAAGCCGCGCATTTTACAAAGCAGGCACCGCAGGCTGGCGTCCGCATCAGCAGACACCTCGTCCATATCCTCCAAAGGTACAGGCCGCAGGCGGAGGCCGACTTGGGTGCTGCTCCCGGCGGTGTCTGCAGTAGGCAACCTGGTAACGCCTGTGAAGTATCAGACGTTCATCAGACTGGATCAGCAACTCCACTGCTGTGGTTTGATCTACAAATGTCTTTACTCCGTTTTCAAGGATGGCCCACACTCCCTATAGAGCTGGGTGCATCGGACAACAAAACTTCAGCAGCCGTGATGTAAGGCTGCCTTAGAACGCAGCCCAGGGAAGCAGCAGGGGCAGACACACACTTGTAAAGAAAAGAGGGGGCCGGGAGCAGCAGCACGTGCCTGTGGTCCCAGCTGCTCAGGAGGCCAAAGTGGGAGGGAAGATTGCGTGAGCCCAGGAGGTCGAAGCTGCAGTGAGGCCAGATTGTACCACTGCACTCCAGCCTGGGTGACAGAGCAAGACACTGACTCACAAAAAAAAAGAAAGGAGCAGACAGACCAAGTCTGCAGTGGGGAGGCTGTCACTTAACGGTAGTTGGCATTGAGTTTTTCATGGTATCTATCATGTGCCACTTTGCACAACTTCACGTAGAGGCAGTGCTGCAGGAATAAGCTGGAGAAAGCACAGCTTTCCCTCGGAGCGCTGGTGGGCGAGCATGTGAGGGGGTGGTGCACGTGCCCAGCACCGCGGCAGCGGGGAGAAGCGGCAGGAGCACAGGGGACTAGGAGTGGGGAAGCGGGAGGGCCCCTGTCTCTCTCTGTTTTCCAAGCTTTCTTACTTCTTTTTTTTTTTTTTTGAGACAAAGTCCCACTCTGTCGCCCAGGCTGGAGCGCAGTGGCACGATCTTGCAATCTCTGCCTTCTGGGTTCAAGCCATTCTCCTGCCTCAGCCTCCGGAGCAGCTGGAATTACAGGCACACACCACCACACCCAGCTAATTTTTGTATTTTTAGTAGAGACGGGGTCTTTCATGATGTTGGCCAGCCTGGTCTCAAACTCCTGACCTCAAGTGATCCACCTGCCTCTGCCTCCCAAAGTGCTGGGACTGCAGGTGTGAGCCACCGTCCCCGGCCTCTTCCTTCTTTATACTACATGTTTGTCATTAGGTGTCCATTTTAAAGAAAAACCCAAAGACCTTTTTAAAAATTGGTAACAAATTGTCCTGGTCAAAGACAGTGTCCTGGAACAAAACTGGAACAAACCAGGCACCGCCATCCAGGGTCCGCATCGGCAGACACCCCCCGCCGAGGTTTGTGGCGAGGAAAGTACCAGCAGCACCGCAGAGAAGAGCAGTCACAGCCAAGAGCGCCTGGGGGGTGGCACTACCCAGGGACACTGAGACGCAGAGCACCAAGGTGACGCTACTGTGCTGAGGAGCCCAGGCTGCAGGGCCGGAGGACGTTTCCACCACTGGGCCCTGTGCCCACCTCCGCAGTCCTGAGGAAAGGCAAACGGCTCACCTCGACTCCCTTCTCCCAGGACCTGAGGGTGGACATTCAAAACCACAGACAAACCTGCCGACGGCCGGAGCTCCCAAAGTGCTGCATCGGGCAGCCCCCACCCTCCAGCCAACACCATCCACCCCAGCCAGGGGTTCGACATTCCTCCCGAGAGAAGGTGGCCTGGGAGACGGGGCCCCTGAGAGAAGGGTACCCAGGAGCACTGGAGACAGCCTGTGCACGGCACCCACACAACGCTCGGCCCCTCTGCTCCCCTCAGCAACCCACCGGCCAGAAGACGCAGAGTCCACGGGATCTGGCCTTGCAAGTGTCATGGAGCTGATACAAACAAGAAACGTGGACTCCAAACCCCACAGGATTCTCTCCACAGACACAGCAGCAGGCTCCTGGCACACTCCACACCCACCCCCAGTGTTAGCTCACCCCACAAGGACCCTCCAGAACCCCAAGGGCAGTGCAGCCAATGGTGGATGTAGCATGTGCCCCGGGAGCAGCGTGGCTTCTTGCTGTCCTGTGAGCTCCCAGCCAGGGTAACAAGGCAAGAGAAACACGTCAAAGGCCTAAGAATGGAGAAGCAAGAGACAGAACCACCGCCGTCCCCATACATGGCATGGTCATGATGCAGAAAATGCCAAAGGATCAACAGCTACTGGGACTGAGGGCTTCAGCAAGGCCTTGGGGTGCGGCCGAGGTTTGCAGCGAGGAAAGTACCAGCAGCACCGCAGGGAAGAGCAGTCATGGCCAAGAGCTCCCCGGGGGGTGGCACGACCCAGGGACGCTGAATGCAGAGCGCCAAGGTCACGCTACTGCACTGAGGAACCCAGGCTGCGGGGCCAGAGGGCACTCCTGGCCTCCTGAGCCACACCTGGCCTGTGTCCTCAGCATCTGCCCAAACTACCCCATCCCACCTGGAAAGGAAGAAGCCCCAGAGAACTGCTTCAGTCCTAAGTCAACACAGGACAGGCTCCCGAGGCCCGGATGCAGGGCCCCACCGCCGGGGATGGTGCAGGACAGGCTCCCGAGGCCCGGATGCAGGGCCCCACCGCCGGGGATGGTGCAGGACAGGCTCCCGAGGCCCGGACGCAGGGCCCCACCGCCGGGGATGGTGCCCGAGGGAGTGGCTGTGCTGCTCACCTAGAGGCGTCCTGCTCTGGGAGGTACAGCCACTCGCAGCTCTTGGTGGGTTCAGCTAGTCTGGGGGCCCCACCTAGGGAACCTCGCAAGACAGCCTCCACGACCTGCCTACACCTCAGACAAGCACACATCAGAAAACCACAGTGCCCAGGGCCCCTGAACATGACAGGCCGGCCACGCGCCCACAGAGGAAGGGATAGCCCTGTAGCCGGGGGGCACTCGCTGCCACCTCCCATGAGGAGTAGTGTCTGAGGAGTGAATGAGGAGAGCCTGCTGCACAGGCTCGGCCTGGGCCTTGCCAGGCGGGGTCTGGAAAACACACCAGGTGGGATGCCAAGGGGGAGGCTGCCAGAGGCAGGGCCCTGGGGACCTCCTAGTCTCAGGATGGCACCTGCAAGTCAGAATGAGTGCCACACCCAGAATACAGTGGCACCTGGGGCCCCAGCCCTTCCCTGCTCACCCCTAAGTTTCCATTTGAAAACACTCAGCTGCCCTCCCACCCCAGCTGTCGATGAGGACAGTGACGTGCAGATGGCCTCAGCAGGATGCTGCCAGCCAGGCCCCACCAACCGAACATGTCAAGAACCTTAAATAGCTCCAGCCACCGAGCTCCAAGTGCCAGGTTCAGAAATAGCAACCCACATGCTCAGACACTGCCCCGCCGTCTCCTAGGCAGGGGGGCGCCCGGAGCACATGACACGGACACCCACATAGCAGCACCCCAAACGAGGGAGGGTCCCGTGGGGCCACACAACCCCAACTGTCCACCCAGCCAAAAGACCTCTGCTGGGCGTGGGGCCACATAACCCCAACTGTCCACTCGGCCAAAAGACCTCTGCTGGGCACAGCATCCCCCATGGGAGGGCGGTCCTGAAGCAGCTGGGGCCAGACCTGCAGGGGAGAAGGAGGGCCCTGGGGCCAACCTTCTGGTGATGGAAGGCGGCCCCGGGAATCCCCAGGCCAGGCCCAAGGTGATCAGGCCACACACTCTGATGTGAAAGTTCCAGAAACAACTTAAACATCAGCCCTGACAGCAGACAGCTCTGATGAGGAGGAGTCACTCCCTGAGTGGCCAGGGAAGCTGCCGATTGCTGTCTGGCAAATAGAAAAAGGCAGTGGCTGAGCTTCCCGGGGGCGAGCAGCGCAAGCCCAAGACAGCGGCCCAGGGACCTCGGCAAGCCGGTGAGATCCAGACTTGCACGGCCCACAAAGGCCTGAGTGAACCTGAGTGAACAGGAGCCAGGCCATGAGACACAGGCACAGAAGAGGCTGGCCAAGCCCAGAGGAATCTTCTCCTGTGTGTTCTGCTGCTGCTGTGTGTTTAAACCATTTTTAAGGCCTTTAAATCAAACCGGCGACTTTAATCCGATGAAGGCTTAGCCTGCTGCACTGTGCCCACGACACGTGTACCCAGTCGCCGCCACGTGCTCCAGGACAGGGACCAGGTGGAGTCACCGTGATCCTCAGGCACAGGTGCAGCCCACACCCGCCTGGGCCAGTCTCTGTGCTCAAAGTTCTATGAGGATAAACCCACACACGACGGGCGAACCCTGCTCGGACAAAGAGCAGCAAGGGCTCCTGAAGACACTGCTAGCTAAGGGCCTTTCCTGAGATGCCCCGCCCCGGTTAGTGATTGGCACGTGCAGCAGGCCTGGGCGAGAACACCTGTAGGCGAGAGATGGTGCCCACACAGTGCCCTCGGGCAGTGAGAGATGGTGCCCACACAGCGCGCTCGGGCGGCTCCGGGGGCAGGGCCTGGCTTTTATCTCCCAATGTTGCGTATTTGTCTATTCTGCAATGTGTGCATACGCGCTGCTTTCTCAATCATGAAATGTTATTTTCTACAGAAGTAATTTTAGGTAAAAGTTGATCCCTAACCTTCAAGTCTCAGCCACAGGCATGACAGTGAGTGAGGCACGGTGGGCAAAGACGCGGCCGTTCGCCCCGTGCGCTGAGGACTCAGCCCCTGGATCCAGATGGTAGAGCTGGGACTTGAACAGGACCGGCAAGGGCCACATCCACAGCCTGTCCCCCTGCTTCCTCCCAGGCTGTGCAGCAAGCCAGGGCCATCCATGCCCACTTTCCCTGCCTCTCTCCTACCTCCCTGCGCGATGCTGCAAGATGTTGGTCCCTTGGATGGCTGTGGGCTTCAGCGCCACCAGGAGATGGGAGCCTCCTCTGCGCCCAGTATGGCAGCAGCCACGGTTTCATCTCAACCTGAGTGAACAGGAGCCAGGCCATGAGACACAGGCACAGAAGAGGCTGGCCAAGCCCAGAGGAATCTTCTCCTGTGTGTTCTGCTGCTGCTGTGTGTTTAAACCATTTTTAAGGCCTTTAAATCAAACCGGCGACTTTAATCCGATGAAGGCTTAGCCTGCTGCACTGTGCCCACGACACGTGTACCCAGTCGCCGCCACGTGCTCCAGGACAGGGACCAGGTGGAGTCACCGTGATCCTCAGGCACAGGTGCAGCCCACACCCGCCTGGGCCAGTCTCTGTGCTCAAAGTTCTATGAGGATAAACCCACAGCAGTTCTACAGCAGCCCCCCGACACCCCCCTTTCGCAGATGAAGGAGCTGATCGCAGAAACCCTGAGGACGCCGGCAAGGAGGTGCAGGAGGCTAGAACCCCAGAGGCCCTGGCTGGCTCCTGACTCCCACTAAGATGGGAGGAAACAGCACTATGTCTGGTCCAAGTCAAATGCCTCAGCATGGCACCATGTGACTGCGTGACCATGGGCCTGAGAAGCGCCACCAACAGGGCCACGCTCCCAGCCGGACTGGCATAGGCCACACCTCCGACCCCTGGTCTAGCGTCTCAACAACATGTGGCTCACAAGGATGCCTGGCTTAAGAAACAAGTCATTGGGCTCCCAACATACCGGCTGGCACGGCCACACTCTCTGCAGGAGCGCAGGTAAGAAGGCGCACCACTCCCAGCCGCCGCACCACGCAGCCAAGGCAGGTGACGCACAGGGAGCTGCGGCCAAGCCGAGGCCATCTGACCCCAAGCCTCGCTTCCACAGAGCCATCTCCATGTAACCTCCCCGTCAGTTTGTTCTTATTTTAACTTGGGAGTAGATATAAGCAACAAGTACATTCTGCATGGTTTCCTGTCATACCCTTGACTTCACAACTGTAAAAAAAGGTCTTAAAAAAGGGATTTTTTTTTTTTGAGATACTGGAAAATAGCAGAAAATGAGCTCATTCTGTTTTCAGGCAGGCACCTGGGACTCAAGCCCAGAGACACAGGCAGGGTGGGGCAAGGCTCATTTTCTGCCATTTTCCAGTTATCTTAAAAAAAAAAAAAATCCCTGAAGACAACCCTGTAACCCCAGAGTCTGTACTGTCTGATGAGGAGCTGGGACTTCCCAAGTCTCCGCTGTGCAAGGCAGGAGGGAGAGCCTGCGTCTCTATCCCGGGACTGTCCCACACCTGGGCTGACCTGACAAGGACACAGCTCTGCTGCCCTCTGCTGGCCAGATCACCAGGGCAGAGGGACGGCCAGGAAGCCAAGGTCGCGCCCTCCACCGCAGGTCCCTCCACCGCAGGTGCCTGGGGGTGGAGTGGGGTCTAAGCAGGTACAATCACCTGGGCAGCGCTCTGTGCTGACCGGGAGAGCCAGCCCTGCCCAAGGGCTGGGTGCAGGAGCTTGGGATGTCCTTGCACCACAGCCTGGTGGCCTCGTCACCCAGTCCAACACGCCTGCAGACGCAGACGTGTTCCACTGACAGCAGCAGCAGGTCGTACACAGCCGGAAGGCGCAGGCAGAAGCGGCAGGAGTGGCTGCCGGAGCAGCAATGGCGGCGGTGGGTGCCCTGTGCCCGGCGTCTAAGAGTAGGCCTCTGTGGCTTCAGAGCCTGGCTCCATGGTGCGCTCTGGCCTGCTGCTGCTGCACAGAGGGTTCTGGGGGGTAGGCGGAGCTGGGGCCGCGCTTTGGGGACCCGGACAGCAGTGTGGTCCCTGTGTCCACCCGGCCGAGGGTGCTGGGTTCCTCTGGAGGAGGCTATGGTGCAGGGCCGCCTGGGCTGCATCCCTAGGATCCACCCCACATCGGTGTGACTGCCAGGCCCGACACTCCTGACAGCCGGGCCCAGGGCCCAGGGCCCACAATCCACTCCCTGATCAGGAGCAGCCCCCGGGCAAGGCCACAAACCGTGCGAGGGGGAGCCAGGGCTGCATGCTCCACAGAGCCAGCAGGAGCGGGAGCAAGCAGCAGCCAAGTCGGGGCTCGGGACCCTGGCCTCTCTGCACTCTTACCCTTGCAGACTCAGAGATGCCTGCTCCTGCTGCCTGGCCTCTCCCTGCTTCCAACGCCCACTCCAATCTCAAAGGGGGGTTGGGGCTGAGCCCAGGTGCTGTCAGAGCCCGGCCGGGTGTGCACACACTCAGGCCCTGCCACCTTGGCCCCCTCTGGACCTTGGGCATCAACAAGCTCTGGGAGGAAGCCAAGGCGGGGGCTGAGGGTGGCTTGGCGCTGGCCTGCAATGGCCGGACCCCACACTTGCTCACACACACACTTCACCGCTCCACGCCTGACTCCAGTCTCCCTTGGAGGCATGAGATCCAGGCCAGTAGCATGAGCTGAGCTCAGCCTGCCAGGCCAAGTAGGTGAAATGAGCCCAGTGGGCCTGGACAAAACTCAAGCAAAGGTGCCACCGGCCACAGGTATCTGGCCAGAAAAGCAACACCCCCAAAATCCTGTACCACCACCGGCGCCTCTCATGCCCCCACCGCCCCCAAGCCGTCCACCATGCTGTGAGCTCCCTCTCCAGCAATGGTGACAGGCCTCCCAACATCCTCTGCTCCAGGGGCCCCCAGCCCCACCCGGCTCTGAGTCCATACCAGGCCTTGCCCCACCCTGCCTGTGTCTCTGAGCTTGAGTCCCAAGTGCCTGTCTGAAAACAGGTGGGCTCGTTTTCTGGTATGAAGGAACACAGAACTAGAAATCCAATTCTAAGCGTGCTCCATGACCAGCTCCCCAGACGCCCGGTGCTCCACGACCAGCTCCCCGGACCGCCCGATGCTGCATGACCAGCTCCCCGGACGCCCGATGCTCCACGACCAGCTCCCCGGACGCCCGATGCTCCACGACCAGCTCCCCGGACCGCCCGATGCTCCACGACCAGCTCCCCGGACCGCCCGATGCTTCACGACCAGCTCCCCGGACCGCCCGATGCTCCACGACCAGATTCCCGGACCGCCCGATGCTCCACGACCACCTCCCCGGATGCCCGATCGCCCGATGCTGCATGACCAGCTCCCCGGATGTCCGATGCCAAGGATTGGAGCCGTGCCCAAGGCTGGAGGATCAGCCACCACTGGACACCCGGCCGGCTGCCAGGCTCTGGTATTGCACAAGCCAGCTAGAGCTGGCCACACAGCACGCACAGCAGGTGGCACTGCGTTGGGGGAGGCTCAGGAGACGGGTGCTCACCCCGGCTCTGCCACAGGTCCCTCGCCACCCCCAGAGCGGACATGGAGGAGCTGTAGCCCCGACATGGGGTCCACAGGCTGCCGCAAAGCCCCTGCATGCACAACCCGGCCCACAGGCAAAGCTGAGTCCTGCTGGGGAGGTGCAGGGGGTCTTAGAGAGCTGGGGCGGGGAGGGGACTCTAGGCCAGCCTCAGCCCTGCACCCATGCCCTCCTCCTCCCGTAGCAGGAGGCTGCAGAGCTCAGAGGGTCCCTCCCAGGATGCCCGTAAGGGTAAGGCAGGCTCCAGGGCACAGGAAGGGAACAGGGGGTCAGATGTGGCTTCCTGGCGAGCTGGGATCCGAAGGGCTTGAAAAAAAACATAGGAACGATGCCATGAACTTGTCAGTCACAGGATAGGAACGATGCCATGAACTTGTCAGTCACAGGATAGGAACGATGCCACGAACTTGTCAGTCACAGGGACTAACAAGCCCCACCACTTCCCAGGGCTAGAGTGGGGGAGGAGGGGTGCAGATGGGCACACGGGTGTCCACCAGGTGATGGGCCACAGCCTAGACCCCTCCCCTGGGCCACCCAGCTCCTTGGCCAGAGACGCAGCATGCAGTGCTATTCCTGACTCAGGCAGGGCACGGACGATGAGACACATCTTGGGAAGGCGGTGTTGCACTAAGCCAGGCAGACAGGCACCCACAGGCCGCCACCTCACCTCCATAGCCAGGCGGGTCATTGAAGGGTGGCGGCCAAGTCACAGGATGCAGTATCTGCATGACATGGGCACTCAGGCCCCAGCACAAACCCGGGGTGGGGTGGGGGTAGGGACGCAGGGCACCAGCCAATCAGGAGCTGAGGAGACCACACCAAAAAAACAGAACTGTTCCTGGAGAGAGGGAGGAACATGGTGAGGAGCAGCCAAGATGCAAAGGACCCCACTGAGGCGCCTGGATACCTCGGAGGCCTGAAGAAAAGGGGCTGGGGCCCCCAGACCAGGGCAAGCCCCTCCGCCTGTGGGGCTACTCCTCTAAGGGTCTGCAGGTCCCACCCATGAGGGTCTGTGGGCCCTGCCACCCTGCCAAGCTGGTGCTTCACATCCCAGGGCAGGGGAAGTGGAGGCCTGTCCCTCCGTCTGAGCCCTCTGTGAGGTCCCATGGTCCCCTTCATCCAGCCCGGGGCTCTTCAGTGCAGAAAACCCACAGCAGGGCGGTGGAAGGAATATGCACCAGAACCCTGGGCTGAGAGCCACAGCCAGAGACGGCTGGCCAGAGGCCTCGCTCCAGGAGGGCTGTAATGGGGGCCCGCGGCGATGAGCTCAGAACGCCCCTCCCACAGGACAGCCTCCTGGAACACACCTCAGGGACAACCTCCAAGGCACCATTTTGGAGCACCTTCTCCTGAATCCCCCTGGGGCACCAAGGCAGAAATCACAGCCATGGGCAGTGCACAAAGCCACCGGCTCCTGGCCAGAAGCACTAAGTGCCTCCCCAGGCCAAGGCTCCTCCCCAACACCCAAAACCCTGACCCTGCCGCACGGCTCAAATAATTCCCATCCTCGTGCCCCTCAAGGCGGGCTATGGGAAACACCTGCACACAAGCAGGAAGCGCCAGAACGGGCCACGCTACTGTCAGCACGAGCTCAGGGCTGGGGAGCGCCAGAACGGGCCACGCTACAGTCCCGTCAGCACAAGCTTTAAGATTTTTATGCACAAATAAGGGTATGTGAATTAAGAAAAAAATTAATTACCCAACAGACTCACAAACAATAGAATCTTCAAATTTTTTCAACTTATTGTTCAATTATTTCAAGAAAACACTTCTATGCTCTACTCTGATAACATGGTTCTGAAATTTGAAATCAATCTTTGACATTGTAAAGTTCAAGCTTCTACCCTCTCCCACCAGTTACTCTAAATTAATGAGGTTTGAGCTTACGAAAAACAAAGACCAGGCCGGGCGTGGTGGCTCACACCTGTAATCCCAGCACTTTGAGAGGCCAAGACAGGCAGATCTCTGAGGTCAAGAGATCGAGACCATCCCGGCCAACGGGGTGAAACCCCATCTCTACTAAAAATACAAAAATTAGCCGGGCGTGGTGGCGTTAGCTGGGCGTGGTGGCATGTGCCTGTTGTCCCGTCCCCGCTACTCAGGAGGCTGAGGCAGGGGAATCACTTGAACCCAGGAGGCGGAGGTTGCAGTGAGCCAAGATCAAGCCACTGCACTCCACCCTGGCGACAGAGCAAGACTCTGTCTCCAAACAAACAAACAAACAAAAAACAAACAAACAAAAACAAAGATCCAGCATGGCTCAAAGGAGAGGCCACAGGGCTGCTGGGCACGACCTCAGCCCAAGAACGCTGCGAGGCCAGATGTTGCTAAAGAGGAGTTTCCCTGGTAGGCAAGACGGGTCGTGAGCGTGACGTCTCCCTAAATTAGGAGGGGAAGAGGGGACGTGACAGTCAGTGCAGCAGGTGACCTTGGGGACCAGATGAGCCACAGGGGCTTGAAGGGAGAGGGCCAAGAAAAGGCAGAGGAAAGAGGCTGCTGTGTGAAAGAGCTCTGAGAAGCTCAGGCCAGAGCCAGGTCACTGAGACCCACGACTCCCATCCCCTTGGGGACAGCCTTAAGGGCCTTGTCAGCAACCAGGGACACAGCTCGGGCGGACCACCCACATCAAGCGTTCCTGGCTGGAAGGCACAGCTTCTCTCTGGAGTTACCTGGCCTGGTCACCTCACCAGGTCCTCCTTGGAGAGAAGGAGCAGGAAACCTGCACTGGTTAAATGTACCTGGATCTTTCTAGAGGCACAGTGAGGCCCTTAGCATCTATGAGCTATGTCTGTCGCCGCTTTGTGGACAATGGAGCTAAGGGTCACAGAGCACCCGTGATCACATGACTTGTGCCCAAGGAATTAGGGCTGGCCCACCTCTGGGCAGCTGCAAAACCCACTCGTCCCCAGCCTTCCCACCAGACCAGCCTCGTTCAACAGATGCAGAGCGGGCGCCTCCACAGCCTTCACTGCACTGTTTTAAACGTTTCACACCAACTACCTCATCTCAAACTCAAAACTGCCAGAACTTAGGAGATAAATACTGTTACCTCCTTTGACAGATGCAAAGCCCAGGCCCAGAGCGATCAAGTGTCCAGCCAGAGGCTACCAGGCGGTGAGGGGCAGAGGCCCAGAGCCCACGATCTTAACGGGCCATCTACAGGCCCCAGACCCGGCTCCTGCCCTGTCCTGGCGCTCCCAGCTCTGCCGACTGTGAAGCCACATGCAGTCTTCACTGTCACACTGGTGCCCTGAGCTCTGCCCCCACAGCCAGGCCCTCTCCCTCCCCAACCTATGACTTCCCAAGGCTGTCAAGATGTAAAAAGTATTCCTTGTGCTCCTCACCGACTCCCTTAGATGAGTGAAGGAAGCTTTTTCCTGGATTTATCCCTGGGAAGTGACACTGCTCACCATCCTCCAGCCAGAAAGTCAACACTCCCAGCATTGACCATGGTGGCCGGGAACTCTCTAAAACACCTCAGACTCAGTAGGAGGTGCAGGGGGACGGCGTTCCCTGCTAAGCTCCGGACACTGGAGTGAGTGGGAGTTCCCAGACCCTCTCACTGGCCAGGCTGACGTGTGTGCTGCAGGGCTGCAAGGAGCACAACCAGGAGACGGGAAGGGCTGCGCATGGATCTGATGAAACTGAGAGGACCCTGCTTCGGCTTCAGGATCTAAACCCTCAAGAGTTATTTGTACAAAATGATAAGCAGCTAACCTCTGCAACACATAAAGCACTTGTTTAAGAAAAGGATCAAAACTGCCCCAAACATACAGACAGACCGAAAGAATCAGCACACACGGAGAAAACAGTTCAAACCCTGTTGGTCACCAAAGCCCAAGTTCCTGTGGCTTCAGCGTGGCTGCCAGGACGCAGAGCAGTTCTTGCAGAGCTGCGGAGACATGATGCAGCCCAGGGGCAAAACCACAGCTGTAATCTACTCTGGGGAATCGCCCCAAGAAACAGCCAGGGGCATCCCTTGCTCAAGGACATTGTCAGGTACAGGTTAGCTGGAAAGCTGCTGAGACCTCGGGTGCCTGAGGGAACAATCCCAGACCTGCTGGGTATCAGCATGGTAACCCGTCGAGCCTGCCTCACCTCTCCTGATGGAAGGGACGCTCCGTGCACTCGAGCCTGCCTCACCTCTCCTGACGGAAGTGACACTCCTCACGTCCAGCTCCAGCTTCTGCACCAAGGCGCTGGGGTCTATCTTGGTCCTGGCAAAGATGTTGGTGTTGATGAACGCCCAGTCCTAATGTCCCCAACAAAAACGGACGAAAAGAAGAGGTGTGAGACTTGCTCTGTGGTTTCAGAGGGACGTTAAAGGTGAGGAGAAGATGCAAGACAAGAACCTGGATTCCCCAGCTTCTCTGCCCGGGAGGACCTGGGGGAAACAACCCTCACCTCCCAGAGCAGAAGCCTCCGGTTCCAGAGCTCCAGGGCAGACCCGCAGCGCCCAGGCCCACCTGCTCCCTGCCTTCAATCACCAGACGGGCTTCACTCCTGGTTCTTCAGGAGTCAGGACCAGTATCTCAAGAACCAAATTTCCTTCCCAACCATTTCGTCTTACTCTTTCTACAACATTCTCCTGTGTCACAGAAGAAACCTGCAGCTGAGCAGATGAAGGATAGGCAGCTCCCAGCCTGACAGCTCTTTCAGCTCAGACTGACCACATCCCATCAGAACTAGTCATCTCAGCAGCCTCTCTGCCAGGTCTGGTTCTGAGCCACACTCATCCCTGCATGAAGATTTCAGTTCCTCCAAGTCAGCTGCCGACCAAACCGTGAGGAGACAGAACCCCCCCGTCCCTGACCCCCGTGCTGCCCAGCCCATTCATGTGCAAGCCTCACTGACCTTGGCAGGGAAGGCAGCATCGACCTCAACAGAGGTTTCTGAAGGGGGTCAGAATACGCCACCCCAAAACATGTCACTAATTATTTTGAGCTAAAGGCACTTAAAAATATAGCAGGTACCAAGAGGGCATATTAACCCCCTCCCTGTTTTTCCTGAAAGGAGATAAAACCCCCATATGGAAGATGCCCTCCTACACCAGAAGGTAAGTGACATTCTTATCATCAGGGATGGATCAGAGGAGCCAAGAGCACTCTGTACAGACACACCTGGTGAACACAACCCCTCCCCTCCTGCAGCCTCCCCATGTGGTTTAGTTTTCCACAACCACCTCCGTTCAACCTCTCACCCTCTCAAAGAAGCACAAAGTTCTCCCACTTCCTTGTCTTCATTTCCTTATAAGGCTCCCATGTCACATAAAACTTCAATGAATGGGTACGCTTTTCTCCTGTTAATCTGTTTTATGTAATTCTAAATCTCAGGCCCAACCTAAAAACCTTGAAGGTAGAGGTAAAACATGGCCTCCTTCACATTACAGAGGAGACAGGATGCAGATGAGGTAGAAGGCAGCCAGGGCACCAAGAGGTGCCAGGCTGGACTGCAACTCCCCAGGTGCTCTCACCCACAGCACCTGAGGGAGAAGTCCTTGGTCTCCCTCACCCACAGCACCTGAGGGAGAAGTCCTTGGTCTTGGAGGGTTACGTGGCAGAGACAGAAAAGTCGGTACATGGGAAAATATCAGACTCACGGGGGAACAGTGCTGGAGACCAGGGCAGCCTTCAGATGGGCAGGCAGGTGGCTGAGGCAGCACAGGTAGGCTGAGGCCTCACAGGCAAACAGGGACCAGGTGGGGACAAGGGGTGCAGCATGCAGCCTTCCAGATCATGAATGTATGTTGGTATACGGCAGACGACTGCTTTTCCCACTGTACCTGGGACATTCTCCATGGTAGCACTTTATATCTCATTAATGCATATTTTTGGAGCTTAATAAAAAAATGCTGGCACAGGTTTCAATGAGCCAAGACAACTAAAGGCACGCCCCTCTCCTGCTAGTAGAGAGAGATGTCACCTGAGAAGCTGAAGCTGCTCCTGCCCCATCTCTGGTGTCCTGACACGGAGCTCTTGCCCAGGAGCGGTAGGCTGCAAAAAGGAAGAACTCCATAGCTCTGCCAGAAGGGACTCGCCTTGTCTGCAGCTCGTGTGAGGGCTCTCACGCCTAAGGGTGTTGCTGACCAGGAAGGAGCTCTGGGTGGTGACAGATGCAGAGGGCAGGGTGCCCAAGGCTCCTGGGTAGACAGTAAGCCCCTCTGACCCAGGAACAACTCCCAGGAGGTCGCATCCCTGGCAGTCTGGAGGCTGTGCGCATGTTCAAGGACGCACCCTACCAGGAGTGAGCAGAGGGACTCTGTAAGCTACTAGTCCTTGGCTGTGCCTCTGAGGGCAGAAATGAAGGTCAAAAATGTGAACACGCTGAATCTGACAGCCACCTCCAAGCCAGAGGTATCCAGTGGTAAAAGGCAAAAACCCCCTGGCCAAGGAGGCTTTAAGAACAATTGCTGACCAGTGAGGAGCTTAAGCAGATCCAACTAGCCAGGCTAAAAGAGAAAAACAGGAAGAAAAAAAAAAAACCAAGGGGGCACATCAGAGGCTGCACACAGCCAGAAGGGGACAAGGAGAGAGGTCACATAGTTCAGTTCCAGATCAATAAACAAAGTAATCAAGCAGATACTAATCCCTGGTTGCTACAGGACTATCCAAAATGCCCAATTTTCCACAAAAAGTGATACATTCAAAGAAGGCCCACCTGCTCCTACCTGCCAGCATGAGCCAGGCAACAGAAACTGCTTTGAGCAGCCCACATGTAAAGAATTCAGAGTAGGCATTATAAATATTTCTAAGGACTAAAAGAGACCGTGTCTAAAGAACTAAACGAAGGTATAATGACATTCTCACATCAAACAGAAAACATCAGTAAAGAGTATTTTTTAAAATGAGGAGGAACAGGAGAAGAGAAAGAAAGTAAATAAATTCTGGAGTCAAAAAAAATGAAAATTTCACTGGAAAGGTTCAAAAGCACCTCTGGGCTGGCAGAACATCAGTAAACTTGAATTAAGATAGATTATGCCATCTGAAGAAAAGAGAAAAACTGAGTGAACAGCGCCTCAGAGCACTGTGGGACACCATTAAGCACGACGTACATATTTATAATGGAAGTATCCGAAAGAGAGGAGTGACAGAAAGGGGCAGAAAAAAATATTCAAGGAAATAATGGCTGAAGACTTGCCAATGTAACGAAAAACATTAACCTACACACGCAAGAAGCTCAGTGAACACGCAAAATAAATGCAGATACCTACACCAAGACACATCGGTCAAAATATTTAAGGCAAAAGCCAAAAAAAAAAAAAAATCCTGAAAGCAATAATTCCACTCACATGCAGTGTCTAGAATAAAGACAAAAGGTAGATTCGTGCTTGCTTAGGGCTGAGGGGGATGGAGAAACAGGCCAGCCGACTGCTAAAGGGAACGGGGTCTCTCTTCAGTTTGCTCTCCGTTCTTCTCTAACTCTGGGAACGTCCTTTCCTTTCCGGGGAGCTCAGTGCGATTCAGGAACCTCTGGGGTCCGCGTGGCAACCCTGGACCGCAGCGGGAGGTTCCTGGCTCTCTCCCCTCCCCGGGAGCGGCGCGAGTCCGTGTGCCCAGGACGGCAGCGCAGAGCGGAGCCTCGGAGTTTACGACGCTTCGCGAAGCAAGAAGGTCGCGTCTGTAGCGCAGCAAATGCCCGCAGAGCCCGAGGGAAGGCCGGGGTCGCGGAACCCTCCCGGAGGCGGCGCCCCGCAGCTCACCCGCCCTCGGACCCACGCGGCAGCCCCCGGCCAGCGCCTCCCCAGCTCACCTTCCCCGCGGCCGAGGCCGGCGGAGGGGTCGCCTCCGGGGCAGGGGGCGCGGGGCCGGGGGCGGCCTCCCCTTTCGGCCTCACGGCAGCCTGGTGCACTCGGGCGCGCAACCCCCTCACTTTCCCCATCTTCCCGGCGGAGCACGGCAAACGTGCGGAGCGCCTCCCGGAAGCTGGTCCTGCGTTCTCGCCGCCCGGCGGAAACAGGAGCCGCGGCTGCCGGGAGCCCCGCGGCCGCCGGAAGTACCCGGAAGCGGCTCGGGCGGGCGCAGGGTCGCGGGTGTAGGGTGGCGGCGCTCCGCCTTTCACCGACGCACCTGGGAGAAACAGACCGGAGGACGCGGGTGGCGCGGAGCACGAGAAACAACGAGTTTCTGTCTAGATCGTGGGGGACCCAAGCCCGGGGTTGCGTCCAAGGTCGGGGATGGAGAGGACGCGACCCCCGCGGCAGTCGAGATGGCCTTTTTAAAATTCTATATTTGAGAAGGAGTCTCGCGCTGTCGCCCAGGCTGGAGCGCAATGGCGCGAAATCGGCTCATTGCAGCCTCGACGTCCAGGACTCGAGCGATCCTCCCGCCTCAGCCTCTCGAGAAGGTGGGACCACCGGTGGGCACCGCCACGCCCGGCTAATTTTTATTAATGTTTTGCTAGAGCCGGGATCTTGCTGTGTTGTCTGGCTGGTCTTAAACTCCTGGGCTCCAGCGATCCTCCCTCCTCGGCCTCCCAAAGCGCTGGGATTACAGGCATGAGCCACACTGCGCCTGGCCAAGCTAGTGCATTTTAATTGACCTTCACTTCATGTCAATTTATTTTTTACACTATTCCATTTAGTCCTCAGAACAGTTCTTTAGAATTGGGTATTGCTCCGTTTACGTGGGAAACATAGCAGCGAGGTAACGGGCTGGGTCCCGTGCTGGGAACGGGAGCCCTGCTCATCTGACTGCTTGCACCCTGTGCTGTCTATGCTGGGCGTACTGGGGGGCGTTAGGGAAGAGACCACAGGTACGATGCAATGCCTGTCCTCAAGGAGCCCATTGTTCTCATGGGAACACAAAGCTGACACATCGAGAACAAACTATGGAACAGGCTGTGGCTGAGGGCCATGAAGGAAGGCTGCCAAGTCCGGGCCCAGCCAGGTAGCAGCCACACCTCTATCTACCCTGCTCCCCAACACTGGGCACCAGCACTCACCTGCCCAGGACCCACAGTGAAAACCCACCCACAAAAAATGCACTTTGGAGAAGAGTAGCAGGTCCCAGGCAGAGCCAGGGCCACCTCTCAGAAAGGACATCAAGTTTCTCGCCCAGCTGAGAGATGGACAGATGACCGCACAAGCCACTCACAGCCCAAGGTGATGGACTCTAGGATATATTCAAGGCTGAGCAACTGGCTTGAAGTCGTGTCTACTTACATATTCAAAGACCTAGTGAGCATTCACAAGTCATTCTTTTTACCCTCCAACTAGCCGTGTTCTCAACCAGTCTACCTAGGAATGCTGTTGGCTGTGAAAACTCCAGAGGCTGGTATCTTTAGAGTTCCTTCAGGGTGCATTCAGCATCTGAGCCTAGCGACTCTTGAGGTGAAAGTGCTCACGTTTTTTTTTTGGTGAGAGAGTCTCACTCTGTCGCCCAGGCTGGAGTGCAGTGGCGCAGTCTCAAAGTGCTCATCTTTATGTACTTTGGATGCCGGTGAATGCCTATTGTTTCAGCCAGCTGGATCACTTTACCTGTTAACCATTCCAATGTGAGTTTACTTCATGGAATTGTGCCTGTTTTTAAAGAACATATTCTGGCTGGGCGTGGTGGCCCACGCCTGTAATCCCAGCACTTTGGGAGGCTGAGGCAGGCGGATCACCTGAGGTCAGGAGTCTGAGACCAGCCTGACCAACGTGGAGAAACCCCATCTCCACTAAAAATACAAAATTAGCCAGGCGTGGTGGCGCATGCCTGTAATCCCAGCTACTCAGGAGGCTGAGGCAGGAGAATCGCTTGAACCGGGGAGGCAGAGGTTGCAATGACCCAAGATCACACCGTTGCACTCTGGCCTAGGCAACAAGAGCAAAACTCCGTCTCAAAAAAAAAAAATTTATATTCTTTAAAGATCAGCCTCCTCTTCCACTGCCAGCCCAGTGTTTGAGACTGCTATGGTTTGAATGTTGGTCCCCTCTGAAACCCATGTTGAAATGTAATTGCCATCATACTAGTATTAAGATGTGGCACCTTTAAGAGGTGATTAGGCCACAAGGACTCTACCGTCAGGAAAGGGTTAATGTTGTTATCATGGGAGTGGGTTTGTTATCAAAGTATTTTTCATAAAAGGACTAGTTTGCCCCCCTTTTGGCACACTCTTGCCCTCTCTTTGCTGTTCCACCATGGGATGACACAGCAAGAAGGCCCTTGCCAGTTGCTAGCTCTTCTGTCTTGGACTTCCCAGTCTCCAGAACCATGAGCCAGTAAATTTCAGTTCATTATATAAATTACCTAGTCTGTGGTATTCTGTTATAGCAGCACAAAACAGAGTAAGACAGTGACAAAGATACTCACCTGTACAAAGGAGGAAGCTTCAAAAGAAGCCATTCATGTATGGGGTGGGACTGCAGAAGGACCACAGTAGAGAATCCCTCACCAATAAGGAACTGTGTTAATCAGGTAACTAATTAATTAAAAAAAAATTAAGAGACAGGGTCTCACTCTGTTGCCCAAGTTGGAACAGTGGTGCAATCATAGCTCATTGTAATGGTGACCTCCTGGGCTCAAGTGATCCTCCCATCTTAGCCTCCTGAATAGCTGGGAACACAGGCATGTGCCACCACACCTGGCTAATTTTTTGGGTTTTTTTTTTTGCAGAGACACAATCTCCCTATGTTGCCCAGGCTGATCTTGAACTCGGCTCAAGCAGTCGTCCCACTTCAGCCTCCCAAAATGCTGAGATGACAGGCGTGAGCCACTGCCATGTGGCCCCAGATTTTCTTTTTTAAAAAGTCATATACGTACACGATACTGTAGGGGAGGCAAATATCCACCTCCCTCCTCTTAGGTTCCTGGCTGGGCCTGGGAACTAAGTTGAAATCAGATGGATTAACAGGAGAAATGTATACAAATTTAATGTCACTTTGATGTCACACAGGACCCTCCTAAGGAAGCAAAGACCCAAAGAAGTGACGAAACCTATGTGCTTTTGCAGGAGGCTGAACAAAGAGGCAGTTGTGGAAAAGTAAACCGTGTGGGGAGGCTTAAGAACGACAGGAATTACTTTAATTACTTTAATGTCTGTACAGAATTCTGTTGGCTATGACGTGCTTCCCTGTAGAGGAATCTTTCTTCGCCCGGTACAGGGAAGGCATCTTTCACCTGAGCGTTTTTATCTCCTGTCTTCAGGAAGAAAAGGAGAGATCCGATGATGCTCTTGCCTGTGCCATTTTTCAAGTGCCTTAGGTAGAAGTGATTCTTATGTCAAAGTGGCAGAGTGAGCCACCCTTCGATCCCAATGGAAACGTCCTAAAAGGTGTTGACAGTGAACAGTTCCCCTTCCTCCCCTGACGCCAGAGCCTAGTTCTCTGCCCACTTGAAACCATGATTATGGGTTTCCTATCGCAATTCTGTAGACTTTTATACAAAAAGAGTTTTATCTATGAGAAAATATTTTTCAGTGATCCTGTTCTTCACACCAATTAAACCTGACTGTTCCCTGCTCCGCACCTGGCTTCTCTCACGTCATAAAGATCTTACCATTTGCCCCTCATTCCTCCTGGCACTCCATAGCGGCTGCAGAGGACACTGGATGTGACATGGCTCCATCAGTTCCCACATGGCTTGTTCCCTCTCTCCTGCTGTAACTGACATGCTGGCATGCACATTGCCTTATACATACAAACAGAAGCTTTCCAAAGAGAAGTTTCAGGAAATTCACGTGGAATGTTTGGCAGTTGGTGTATATAAAAAGCTCAGGCCTGGCCGGGTGCAGTGGCTTACACCTGTAATCCCAGCACTTTGGGAGGCCGAGGCGGGCAGATCACAATGTCAGGAGATCAAGACTATCCTGGCTAACACGGTGAAACGCTGTCTCTACTAAAAATACAAAAAATTAGCTGGGCGTGGTGGCGGGCGCCTGTAGTCCCAGCTACTCAGGAGGCTGAGGCAGGAGAATGGCATGAACCGGGGAGGCGGAGCTTGCAGTGAGCCGAGATCGCACCACTGCACTCCAGCCTGGGCGATGGAGCGAGACTCTGTCTCAAAAAAAAAAAAATAAGTAAAAATAAAAAACTCAGGTCTGCTTCTCCCTTCGTGTTGTACCCAGGAGTGGCCAGAAGGCTCCTCTCCAGGCCTCACAGAGGGAAACACTGGTCTAGTGAGAGACCTGCGTCCTGCCCATCAGGACCGAAGCGGCACGCGTGAGGATCCTGCAGGCCAAGAGACAACAGCGATTACAAACCCCAGTCCCAGCCTTGCAGCTGACCTTGCAGGTGACGCCCTGCCTGGGTGTCTCGGTGCAGCTGCACATCAGGGGCCTCTGCTGGACAGAAGCTCTGAGTCCACACTTGGCCCCCAGGCGCTGGAGCTGGTAGGTGACATGTTGCACTCTTATTTGGGATTCTGCTACCTCTTTCTGTTCAACAAGTGAAGCCTCAGAATGCAGAGAGGGGGCTAGGAGAGGCCCCTGCAGACATGCTGGGCCTCATGGGGCCTCACAGCTGTCCAGAGCCAAACCATGCGGTGCTGCTCTGCTCCAGCCATGGCCAGTGGTGAAAGGGACAGAGGGAATCACTGATGCCTGCAAGGATGCTCTGACCCCTCAGGAAGGCTGCCCAGGTGCCCACCTTCAGGGAGACCCACAGATGCCCCATGCTGGGGGGGCACAGTATGAGTGGCTGAATCCTTGCAGAGCCAGTGCTAGGCTTGGACCCCTGCAGATGCAGGGGGTGCCCCAGGGAGGGTCTCCATGGACTCAGAGCCTGCCTCTGCCCTGGACTGTCTCCTGCTCCTGCTCTCTCCTCTCTGCCCCTGGAGTGGTGTGTGCTGGCTCTAGGTCAGTAGGAGGCTTCATTCAGAAATGCCTTTCAGCATGCTGCCCAGACCACGTCTCTGTTTCAGGAGCACTGCCACGAGAGGGGATGCTGCCGTGGCTGCGCCAGCTTCAGCCCTTTCCCTGCACCGAGATGTCCCAGTGAGCGGCTGGGTGCTCACAGTTCCCGTTGGGCCATCAGAGGAAGATCAAAGATCAACCCTCCCCCATGGGCTCCTGCCTGCCTGCCAGGTGGGTTTCCTGCCTGTCTCCCAGCCCCCAAGAGCTCCACGGACTCTGCCAGTAGCTGCTTTAAAGGAGGGAGGGAGTTTTCTGATCCTCTGGACATCCCTGGGGCTGGAGCTATGGGCTGAGCCATAGGAGAGCCAGCCCAGCTCCCTGGGGGTTGGGGGCTGTGTCTCTCCATCCCTTAGTAAAAATACAGCAACTCCCAACTCAAAGTCAAGGGTCAATAGTCACAAAACCTTGGTGCAGCCTGGAACAGGCATAGAGGTCTCAGCAGAGCTGCCCAAGGACAAGACCTAAGATCCAGCAGGGAACTATGTAGTCACCCCGAGAGGCCCAGCTCTCTCCGTGAGCTCTGGGCCTAGGGTGGGGGTGGTTGTTGGTTCTGCGCGCACTGTTCCCCCTACATGATGGGTCCATCCCAGTTGGCTTCTCTCACTCGCTTCCTCCTGTGGAGAAGCCTGTCCAGGTGTCACTGCCTCCAGGAAGCTGTCTCTGATTTCTCCAGTTGAACAGTGAGATTTGCCACACCTCACATGCATCGCTCTTGTCCCTGGAATTGTAACCATAGGTTTTCCTGTCTCCTGGAGGACAAGGATGAGGGCTTTCCACTTGAGTCTCCCTGGTGGAGCCCAGCTCCTGACATACCTGGTAAAAGTTCTCAAGAGAAGAACATGGAGGAGGAATGTGGATAACAACCCTGGCTGCCTGTGTGTTCCAAGCTAGGAAGATGTAATGTCCCCACAAACGGGGTAAATGGCTTGCCTGCGTCACAGCTGTCTCAAGCCCAGGCCCTGGGTGCCAGCCCAAGCCCAAGGACTAGGTCCAGAGCCACACAGCGCCAGGCCACATCCGCCTCACCTGGGACCTTTTGTGGGGTACAGTCTCCGGCCCCACCCAGACCTGCTGAAGGAGAGACCCCATGGCAAGGACTCAGCCACCTGCAGTTTCATAAGCCCCCAGTGGGTTCCTAGGCATGAAGACCACCGGTTAGAGGCTGAACTGGCAGGAACCTGTCTCCAGCCCCTTCTCACCCCAGCCGGGCCCTGCCTCAGAGGCAGCACCCAGGACGTGGCCATGACCCGTGGACTCCACTCAATCCCTCTTCTCCAGGAGCCATGCAAAGTGTCAGCCAGCCAGGCCCCTGGAAGGCAGTCATCACCTCTTAAGGCATTGCGGGTGTCGGTCCTGCAACTGCCAGGTGCAGCACACGACCCATGTCCGGTGTTCGATAGCAGGGAGCCATGACCTGGCAACGATTCCACGCTCAAAGGGGCACCCGGGGGGCCCTGGGTCGGGGCGGATCAGCTTTCCCTGGGCACATCTGCCTCATTCCAGATCTCCAGGGCTCATGTCTGTGACAGGGAGGGAAGGCTCTGCCCTGGCCTTCCGTCAGCTCTGCCAGTGCAGGCTGGGCAGCCTGGGCTTTAGAGCTGGCTTCTGCCCACACTTTCTCCGTGAAAGGAAAACAACTATGAGTCTGCCAAACGCATCTCAGATGCGTTTTAAAAAATTCTGGTCCCCGCTCTCTGTCCCATCATCTGCCTCGGGGACTTCCTCTCTCCGTGGTTCTCACCCCATACTCTGTCACTGCCACATTTTCACCTGGGCCTGGCCTTTGTCTCCACCTGAAACTCCTGAAAATCTTGAAATGGATTTCTAGGTCACTGGGGACTCCGGCAGCACATTCGGCTTCAGAATAAAGGGCGCCCGCGGTCCCCCAGCACCTGCCCAAGCCACACCCCTAGCTTCCCTCCCTATCCCTGCAGCCTGAGGGTCCCTTCAGCCACCCCTAAGTCCCCACCTGGGCTCCTGCCCCGCCCCTGGCTAGCAGCGCCTTCTCCACCGGGGCCCCTCTGCTCACAGAGCCCCCTCACCTCCCTGGGGATGAGGGGCCAGGCCATGACCCTGAAAGCCTAGCCCTGGCCTTGACCTCCCAGGAGCGCCCTCCCCGCCCTCTCCCGGCCCCGGCCCCGTCCTCTGCTGCTGGCCTCTGGGTCGTGCCCCGCAGACTGAGCTGCGCTTGGGGGTCCTGGCGGCCTGGGCCGTCCCGCACCGAACCCAGGCGGTCGGAGCCCGGCGGGGAGGCGCGAGGTCCTTCTGGGGGCTCCTCCGACGCCTGAGGGCGCTGCTTCCCCGCGGCCGCCCCGGGTTTCTGCGGAGCCGGGGCCTCCGCTCTCGGGAGACCCGGTGAGACCCCCGGGGAGGCCGCTGGGGAGGCGCGGGCTCTGCTCCCGGGTCCCAAATGCACCGGCTGCCCCTCAGGAGGGACGGCGACCTCCACCCACGGCGCTGGCGCCCGCACGGCCGCTCCTCCCGCTCCCGCAGCCTGGACGCCTCCCGAGGCCGCCCCGCCGGGCCCCACGCGCGGCCCCATCCGCAGGCCAGGACTGCCTTCCCGGAGCTGGCGGCCCCCAGCCTGGAGGAGCCGGCCCCAGACGCCCTCCCAGCCCTCCCCAGCCCACTCTGGCCCCGCAGCCCCCGCCTGGTCCGAGTGCGGGTCTCTGGCCCCGGCCTTTCCCGGGGAAGGAAAGCTCCCTTCACGCGCCCCAGGGAGGCGGCCAGGCTCGGAGCGTGGAATCCCTGCCCGCCGCGGACCGCAGGTTTTGGGCAAGCTCTGGCCTTCCTGAGCCTCAGTTTCCCCATCTCTATAATGGGGACGGCAGGGGTTTTTCTGAGGACCCCCAGGAAAAGCTCCAGGAAGCGCCTACTCACAGCGCGTGCTCAGTGGTGGCCCCGGAGCTGGCAGGGAGCAAACGCAACGGAATACGGCCGGGGTCGGGCGGTGGGGGTCTGGGTCGGGGTCAGGGTGGGGGTCGGATCGTGGTGTCCGCGGCGGGGGAGGCTCCGCGCACCGGCTGAGCAGCTCCGGACAGCGGGTGAGGGAAGGCGGCTTCCTCCTGCTTCGAGACCCATCCTCGTGCCCAGGGGAGCGCCTCAGGGAAGGAGGAGCCACGTTCCAGGGCACCTGGCTGGGACCTGCCGCAGCCTCTGCGCGCAGCGGGCTCCATCCCCCGGGCCACGGATTGGGAGACTGAGGCAGGCGCGAAGCCCGCCGCCCAGCCTCCGCTAGGGAGACCCCGGCCACCTCCAGGCAGTTTTCCTGAAGCCCGGGGCCAGGAGAAGGTGAGCGGCTGCCCGTCGGGGGTCGCCTGCGCCGGGTGGATGCGGCGGCACTTGGGTGCGGTGGGCTCCCAACCTCACTGTCCGACCAAAGGATCGCCCCGGCTGGGCGGGGACCTGGCGCGCCTAGGCCGGGAGGGGACAGCTGGTTTCGGGCGGCCTCTGCCCCAGTGACCTGTAGACTTTGGCTTTGGTTCAGGGACGTCTGGGGTTAAAAATGATCGTTTGGGTTCCCGCAGTACTGTTCGCGGTCTGAGCATCTCCACAACGCGCACATTCCCATAATGAATTTCCGAGAACCGGCACGCGTGCCTCCCCTCTTGGCTCCTGGGACTGCGAGGCCGGATCCAATCTGTGCGCCTCTGTGCGCAGGGACGGCTGATGGCCCGGTTCCGCCTGTCCGTGCCCCAGGATGCTACAGGAAGCTCAGATGCAAACTCTTTGGGGCTGTGAGTTCCCGCATTGGGAAACTCTTGCAATAAAAATAATCGTGCTGTAATCCCCAGGGACCATTGAGAGGAAGTGGTGAGGGCGGGGGAGGCGCGGGAGGAAGAGGCTGGGGGCTGAGGTGTGCTGGGGTGGGTAGGAGACCGGCTGAGCCCAGCACGGAGCCGCTTCCTGGTAGCCCTGGCGGCATCACCCTTGGGTCGGGTTCCAGAGCCCGGGGGTCCTTTCAGCTTTCCGTTCCTTTTCCTTATACTTCGTCCCTCTCTCCAGCTAGAGAGGGGCAGGCTCTGGGGTCTGGGTACTTTTGTTTTGGAGCCATTTAACTTGAGTTATAATAACATGCTTTTCTGATTATAAAATTAATGCATGGCTACCATAAACAATTTGGAAAAGACAGAAAACAAGTTAACACGTTAAAATCTCAATCCTGTCTGGTGAGGACTGCAGTGAAGCCCAGCTGGCCACCCCTTCCGGGGCCTCTGTTCTCCCCAGGGCCTTGCAGCCTCTCTGGGCTTGGCATTGCTATGGCTAAAGTGTGAAAGGGTCATGCAAGGCTGTCAGCCCTGCGTCCCCCACGTGTGACTGCATGGGGTCCCACCCAAATCGGAGTAATATACCCACTCAGCCTCACCCCTGCTCTGCTGGCCCCAGGGAGGAAATGCTCATCATTGCATCCGCCCACCCCACCCCTGCAGTGCCACATTCACCAGCCTCGCTGGGCATCTTCCCCCTCCCCGCCCTCTGCCCCTGGCGCATTCACCAGCCTCACTGGGCATATTCTGCCCTCCCCGCCCCTGCGGTGGCATATTCACCAGCCCCGCTGGGCATGTCCCCCACCCTGCCCCTGCAGTGCCACATTCACCAGCCTCGCTGGGCATGTTCCCCCACCCTGTCTTCTGCCCCTGCCTCATTCACCAGCTTCACTGCCCCTAGCCTTCCCTCACTCAGCAGCCTCTGGGCCCCAGTCCCCACTGCCACTCCGTGTTCCCAGGCTCTGCACTCCCAACCCTTCATCTGCTCATCCCTGGGAGGCAGACCTGTCACCTCATTTACAAATGGAAAAAGGTGCCTTTCAGGAACTGACCTGAGGCTGTGCAGCCCCCTGCCTAGCAGGTGCCTAGCGGTTGCTGCTGTTTCTATCAGAAAGAAAAACTAACAGGGGGAGGGAGGGGGGAGGGCTGCCCTCCAGCCTTCAGGGGCTTCCTGGGTGGAGGGGGCCAGACCTTTCTGGTCAGGTCCCTCTGGGTTGAGAGGTCATCTCCGGGACAGGACTCAGAACTGGAAGAGGGAGGGGCAGCGAGGAAAGGTCCCTGCCTGGCGGTGCTGCCTTCCATGGGGGCCTTGTGGGGCAGAGGCTGGAACACCCACTTGGGGTTTCTGGTGGGAACTGGGGAGCAGGGTGGGGAGCCTGAGTCCCCTCAGAGGAGGAGTCATTTTGAAACTGGAGGGAGAGGCTAAAAGAGGAGGCTGTGGAGAGACCTAGTGTTGACCAGGGTCCAGCGTCAGTGTTTAGGTTCTCTAGCTCTTCCCCACCTCCAATGTCCTCCATGTCCGCACCATTCCCACGTGCCTGTGTCCCACCTCTTCTCCCACACACTGTCCCCACTCCCCATGCCCCATTCCTCTCCAGAGAATCACTGGTCTAGAATAGAGACCTACAAACTTGGGCCCTTAGGCTGGCCCTCCACCTGTTTTTGTCAATAAAGTTTTATTGGAACACAGTCATACTCATTCACTTTCAGAAGGTCTATGGTCACTCTGCAGCCACAATGGCAGAGCTGAGTAGTCGCGGCAGAGACCATTTGGCCAGCAAAGCCTAAAACACATACTGTCTGCAGGGGCTTCCTGGGTGGAGGGGGGGTGAACCTTCCTGGTCAGATCCCTCTGGGTTGAGAGCTCTTCCCCCTCCAGGGAAGAGCTTGCCCACCTCCGCATCGCAGCTCACTTTTACGGAGCACTTTCTCTCTGTTCTGTGCCACCCGAGCCCATATCCAGGCCCAGTGAGCTCTGCACATTGGTCATCCCCTCACTGCAGGGGGAGGCCCAGATACCACCCACAGGACACATTTGTGTGTGAAGTGCCACACTAGGGCCCAGAAGGGACAGCTCCCCACCAGGTAGGGACAAAGCAGGGGTAAAGGGAACACATGGGCCGGCCTATGAGCTGGACCCTTCAGGATGGGAAATGCGTGGGCCGGGTTGCAGAGGGGGTTGGTGAGGGGCTCGGGGACAACACAGGTGTGTTCAGAGACAAGGCGGGTCATTAGATTTGATGGAGGCTTGGGGTCCCTGAGCTTAGGAAGCCCCCATGGAAACCAAGTCACAGGCATCCAGGGTGAGGAAGGCTGCCCACAGGCATCCAGGGTGAGGAAGGCTGCCCACAGGCATCCAGGGTGAGGAAGGCAGCCCACAGGCATCCAGGGTGAGGAAGGCTGCCCACAGGCATCCAGGGTGAGGAAGGCAGCCCACAGGCATCCAGGGTGAGGAAGGCTGCCCACAGGCATCCAGGGTGAGGAAGGCTGCCCACAGGCATCCAGGGTGAGGAAGGCAGCCCACACTTTTCTTGGAGACACATCCCCAAAGAAGTCCTCACGTGGCTCCGTTTGGGCAGAAACCATGAATTGAACGGGAAAAGAAATATGTCAAGTATCAGAAAGAAGAGTGGCATGCTTTGACAGCAAGTGGACTCCGAGTCCAGGGCAGAGCCTCAGTTAGGGTAAGAGGCACCCACCCGACCCAACCCGACCCGACCCGACCCGACCCTCGGGAGCCCTGCTCTCTGGTCAGTTGGCCTTCATGGGGGTGGGGAGGTGGGTGGAGGAATGAGGTTTAGTGGTCTGCGAAGGTGGCAGATCTTGTTTTGGTAGATGAGGGCATTATCTCCCACTGCCCCACCACATTCGAGCTGCTTTCAGTCGGCGTGGTGCTTTTGCTCTCTCTGACCATGCAATTGTCGTTCACTGCTGGGCCATGTGGACGGACTGGAATTACAGTTTCTTCTTCTCCGGTTTTCCCCCTGGAGTCCATCGTTGCTTAACTGTTTTCCTCGTTCCATCTCCTTTGAACATTGAGCATCTTCCCACCCCCAGGGGGCCTGGAAGACTTCCCAGCATAACTCCCCACCCAGCCAAGGCTACCGGTCAGTCTGTCCCTGGACAGGGGGTGACAGGTGAGCCTGTCTGGCAGCCCTTGCCAGGGGCTGTGAAATCTTCCTTTGGGTGAGTCAGGGAAGCAAGAATGCCACCTCCTCAGCTCTCTCCCTCAAGGAGGAGCCACACCACGCAGAGGAAGGCAGAGGAGGGAGGAACTGTGCTCCCAGTGTGGGAAGCTGCGTCGGGGGGTTGGGGGGGCACAGGCCCACCCAGGCCACAGGGGGATGGAGGCTGCCCCCAGCTTCTCGCAGCCCTCCCTCCTTCCTACACTCACCTGCCTTCCCCGGGGCAGATCTCCATTTCTGCATTGCACCCAGCCTGGTGGCCTGGGACCAGCCCTGATGGTCAGCCTGTTTGTATGGATCTGTGGGGGATCCCATGAGAAAGAGCTCGTTGGAGCACCCCACCTGGGGCACCCAACTCCATTTCCTGCCCCGAGCCCTCCCCACTCGCCTCCAGGGAGTGTGTGTCACCTCCTCCCCTCTGCCAGCCCTGCCTGCAGCCCTCTTCTCCGCCCCCGCCCCTGCCCCCAGCCTGCAAAAGGTCTCACCCGCCTTCAAAGGGAGCTGAATCAACACTGCAGAAGGAAGTCACTGGGGGGAAGAAGTGAAAAAGAAAAAAAAAGGCCTACGTGGGGGCAGGGTTGGGAGGAGACCAGAGTTGGGTTGCAGGGGAATTTGCAGGCAGGTTGGAGGGTGGGCGGGAGAGGGAAGTGTGGTGAGTGACTGGGAGGGAGCAGCGGTTCCCGGGTGGCCCCAGGGTCCTCGTGGGGGTGCTCTCCAGGCAGGAAGGGACTTTCTGCCACTTGGACATCTCCCTGTGGGGCCAGACCCCAGGGGTCTCCAGGGCTGGTTAGACTCCTTTCTCATCCCTTATGAACCTCACTGACCTGACTCTTCCCTTGGTGCTGCCAAAATATTGCAGCTCCCCAAGCACCTCTGTGAAGTGAGCCTGGAACCACCCTCTCCCCACTGGCCCTCTCCATCCTTAGCATCTTTCTTGACCTTCAAACCCTGCTCCTATGGGGTCTCCTCCGTGGAAACTTCCAGAATCCCACCTGTCACAGAGAGACCTCCTTCCCAAGCTCTGGGGTTGTGTGTTATGGGGGTGGAAGCTGGGCGAAGGGAAGCTGGGGGGCCCAGGCCAGTGTCCAGGATGGGAGGGCAGGAGAGCAGCCCTCAGGCTCTGAATCTCCTTCCCCATCTATGCTCACCGGCTGCCCCCGCTGCCTCCACGTGTGGACGCTGGGGGTCCCTCTCATCTGCCTTGTGTCATGGCTGACATGCTTGTCTCCTGAACTCGATGGTCTGTTCTGGAGCTCAGGGTCGGGCAGCCTCAGAGCACGCAGGTCTGCCAGGCAAGCACAGGGAAAGGCTCAACCAACCAACCCCTGATGACAGCAGGTAGTTTTCTGGAATACATAAGTGAAAGTGACTGCAAATGGAATTTCTGGGCTGACTGGAGGGAAAAGATTGTTCCCAGAATCCTGCTCCAGTCCTGCTCACTCACGCCTGGCTTCAGAACCTAGCTTGGTGATTCAGCAGATGAGAAACCCTGAGCAGTTGTACCCAGACATGCGGCCAGTTTCGCCCACCTGACTCCCTCGGCTCTTAGGGACGGACTCCTCAGTCCTAGCTTGGGATCAACATCTACTCTTTCCTGTGGCTGCTTGGCTGGAGGGCCCTGGGAAGCAGCCCGGCGTGGCCCCACGGATGCCGGTTGCCGGTGCTGCTACATTTCCTTCTGCGGTCGCCATTTCCTCATCAAAGCAAGAGGGCAGGGCAGCAGGCCTCCCGGCTCCGTGGAGCCTGTGATTTTTCACTCCGTGCAGCCACACCTGATATTTTTACACTAAACGCACCAATTACTCACTTGTCTCCACAAAGAAAAACGTGCACAGCCTCTGACTTCCAGCCTTGTGCAACAGGCACATCAGATGGGGGATAGTAAGATGAGTGCTGAGTGAGTCCCCGGAATGGAGGTCTGGGTCCCCCCATAGCAAGGTCACGGCTCTGGGAAGCCCCACGGTCCCTAGCCCCTCCCCTTCACTCCCTCCACCAGCCTTTATTTAATTAATTAATTAATTTATTTATTTATTGTATATATATTTTTTGAGACGGAGTCTCGCTCTGTTGTCCAGGCTGGAGTGCAGTGGCACGATCTTGGCTCACTGCAAGCTCCGCCTCCCAGGTTCACACCATTTTCCTGCCTCAGCCTCCCAAGTAGCTGGGACTACAGGCACCCGCCACCATGCCCAGCTAATTTTATTTTTATTGATTTATTTTTGTTGTTGTTGTATTTTTAGTAGAGACGAGGTTTCACCATGTTAGCCAGGATGGTCTCGAACTCCTGACCTCGTGATCCACCCGCCTCGGCCTCCAAAAGTGCTGGGATTACAGGCGTGAGCCCCCGCGCCCGGCCTCTAACAGCTGTTTTAATGCTCCGTGTGATCATTTCAGCATTGGGATTATCTCGGAGTTGGCATCTATTAGTTATCTTTTCTCTTACAAGTTCTCAAGGTTTTCTTTGTTGCTGTTTGAGTACTTTTGGGTTGTATCATGGACATTTTGAATATTATTTAATAAGACTCTGGATTCTACTAAAATCCTCTGGACAACAATGATCTTTTTGTTTTGCTAGCAGTCAGTCTGGTTAGGGTTAGACCACAAGTCCAGACCTGCCTCTTGTGGGCTGTGGTTCTCATGTGAGTTCAGTTTTTATTTTTTCTTTTCTTTTTCCTTCCTTCCTTCCTTCCTTCCTTCCTTCCTTCCTTCCTTCCTTCCTTCCTTCCTTCCCTCCCTCCCTCCCTTCCTTCTTCCTTTCTTTCTTTCTGACAGGATCTTACTCTGTCACCCAGGCTGGAGTGCAGTGGTGTGATCTTGGCTCACCATAGCCTTGGCAACGTAGCGAGACCTAGTCTCTATTAAAAAAAGAAAGAAAGAAACAACAGCAACAAAAAGAAAATTTACGGAATTGTGCAATCATCACCACAATCTAATTTCAGAGCATTTCCACCCCCTGAAAGATCCTTCTGCTCATTTGCAGTCACTTCCTCCTAGCTCCTTTAAAAAAAAAAAAAAGATATAAACTATTTTAAGAATACAGAACAGCATGGAGAGCACTAGTACCAATCCCCAAACAGCTACCTCTCATCTTACCAAATCTTAACATGTTGCCTGACTTGCCCAGAACTTTTTCTTCCTTTTTAGTAAAGAAAACTCTACAATAGAACTTTGAAGCCCTCTGCTTCCATCTCCCAGGCCCGTAGCCTTCTCTGTCTTCAGGGGTAACCACTGTCCTGCTCTAGGGGTGTGTGGGTCTGCAGGGACGAGGTGCATGTTATTCTTCAATGCCTCCTTCTACATTTTGCTTTTCAGAAGAATCTCAGTGTTACGGATCTGTGGGTCACGAGGCTTCAGAGCAGCACTTCAAGGGCTCTTATTCATTACCCCGTAGCGTGAGTGTGGCACCATGGATGTATGTGATCTAGGCTATATTTGGGTCCACTTTTCAGGAGTGCTGTTTTTTTTCTTTCATGCCATCCTTTGGACAGCATCTAATTTCATTCAATTGTGTCCGTGAATTTGGCCTCCTTATGGTCTTTGTGCTTTAGAATATGTGGTTATTTCCCTTGTGGTCTAGTAATTATGTGTTTATCATTGTCCCACTTTGTAACATAATTGTGTTTAAGTTGGAGACGAATGGTTACGTTCCTCAAATTCTCTACCTGCCAAATTTGCATTTCTATTTGATTTTTTCTTGTTTGTTTGTTGTTGTTTTTGTTTTTGAGTAAGAGTTTCCTTCTCATCACCCAGGCTGGAATGCAGTGGCACAATCTCGGCTCACTGCAACCTCTGCCTCCTAGGTTTGAGTGATTCTCCTGCCTCAGCCTCCCAAGTAGCTGGGATTACAGGCATGCGCCACCATGCCCAGCTAATTTTTGTATTTTTAGTAGAGACAGGGTTTTGCCATGTTGGCCAGGCTGGTCTTGAACTCCTAACCTCAGGTGATCCGCTCACATCAGCCTCCCAAAGTGCTGGGATTGCAGGTGTGAGCCACCGCGACTGGCCTGATGTGTTTATTTCTGAGAGAGATCTGTTAGAGATATTTGCTGTTTGGGGCTGTGTCAGTTTGCTTATATATTTGTCAGTCTTTGTTTTATATATTTTGAAGTTCGGCACACAAAGGATTATGGCTGCTGAACTGTCTGTGGATTCTGACTCTCATTGGCTACATCTTCCTTTGTCCATTTGATGCATTTTGCTTTGATTTCTATCTTTTTGATGTTACACGATATCTTCGTTAGTATTTTCTAGCACATACGTGTATTTTCCGTTTCTTTATTTTCAGCCTTCAGTGTTCTCTTTTAACAGTTTATCTGATAGAGAGCCTTTCTTACACTTTTTACTTTTTAATTGTGATAAAATATACATAACATAAATTCACCATTTTAACCATTTGAAGTTATGCATTTCCGTGGCATTAAGGACACTTAGTACTGTGCAACCATCACCACCAACTTCTCCAAAACCATTTCATCTTGCAAAACGGGAACTTTATACCCGCGAAATAATAACTTTACACTTCCTTGAAATGTTTTTTTAATCTTACTACAAAAAATTTCACACATCTACAGAAGTAGAGAGAATAGATTAGTGAAGCCCCATGTCCCCAACAGTGGCTTCAAAAATAATCAACTCACAGGTGATCTTGTTGTATCAACACCTCTCCCGACTCTCCCCCAACCCAACCCACCCCTCTTTATTGGGAAATAAATCTGAAACATTATACTGCACCATCTGCAAATATTTCAACATGTAACTCTAAAAGATGGGGACTTTTTAACATAACCACAAACCATTGTCACACTTAAAACAATTAACAATGATTTTAAAATATGGTCCATGCATTGCAATTGGTTCTATTAAGAGATTAAATCTCTTAATCTAAAGGGTCTCTCTCCCTTCGTCTCTCCTCTTGTACTGTGCTGTTTGCCTTGTGAGGGTTTCTTCAGCCTGGATTTTGCTAATTGCATCCCTACGATGTCATCTAACACACCCTCCTGATGCTTCTTTGTAGATCTAAAAAGTTCGACCTGATTCAGGCTCAATAGTAACATTTGTTCTTTCTATTTTTCTTGATTTCTATTGTTATTTCATCAAGACTAATTCATTAAAGGTGTGTGCATAACGTCTGCTGCGTCCGTGACGTTCGCAGCGAGGGTCATTGCTTACTTTAAGTCATCAGCGGGTGTAGTAGAATGGTATTCTCTTTCTGTCCTTCTTCATTATTTTCTAGGCTAAGTCTGTAATGAGAAGATACCCTTGACAGAGAACATTTCATTGGAACTTGTTTTGTCTCTTTATTTCTAAAACCCAACGCAAGACCTTGTTGATTTAAAACAAGAAAATGTAACCCATTCACAGGTGCTGTGATTCCTGATGGGTTTGAAATTATTCCCAATGTTTTATTGTTTGGTTTTTATTTACCTTTCTTGTTTGTTCTATTTTCCCTTACTTTTTTCTTTTAAAGGATTTGCCTTTTTTTTTTTTTTTTTTTCTCAGTTACCCAGACTGGAGTGCAGTGGTGTAAGCATGGTTCACCGTAGCCTCAACCTCTTGGGCTCAAGCAATTCTCCCACCTCAGCCTCCCAAGTAGCCTGGACCATATCGCGTGCTACCATGCCTGGCGAATTCTTAGAAAATTTTTTTGTAGAGATGAGGGTCTGGGTCTCCAAATGTTGCCTAGGCTGGTCTCGAACTCCTGGGCTCAAGTGATCCTCCCACCTCGGCCTCCCAAAGTGCTGGGATTACAAGTTTGAGCCACCATGCCCAAAATAAAGATTTGTCATATTTTTTTTCAGGTATATACATGCTATTTTTATTCTTAAGGAGACTCTTGAATTGTTAGCATATATACTTAGATATTTTCTATCAAAATGCCCACTGACAAGCATCTATATTCCTCCCCAGATAGGATGGAACGGCAATGTGCTCCCTGGCCCCTCCCAACCCAGTCCTCTAGGCGTTTTGTTTCACAGCGTTAATATTCTTACCACTATTTTTTAAATCAACAGGTTATGACATCATAATTTTTACTTATTTCTTTGCCCAACTTTGTATCATCTGCTCTTGTATTTCTCATGGATTTCTTCATGTCTATTTCTGCAAGACATCTTTAAAACAGAGTTTAGGAGCCGGGAGCCATGGCTCACGCCAGTAATCCCAGCACTTTGGAAGGCAGAGGTGGATGGATCACTTGAAGCCAGGAGTTCAAGACCAGCCTGGTCAACATAGTGAAACCCTGTCTCTACTAAGAATACAAAAATTACCCAGGCGTGGTGGTACATGTGCCTGTAATCCCAGCTACTTGGGAGGCTGAGGCAGGAGAATTGCTTGAACCCGGGAGGCAGAGGTTGCAGTGAGCTGAGATCACGCCACTGCACTCCAGCCTGGGTGACAAAAGCAAAACTCTGTCTCAAAAAAAACTGAAAACATAAAAATAAATAAATAAATAAAACAGAGTTTAGGGTAGTAATGTGTCTGAGTCCTTGCTCTGAAGATGTCTGATTTGGGTTTTTTTTCTAGGTATAATCTCTTTCCCTCCTCTTCCTCCTCCTCCTCCTCTCCCTTCTCTCTCTCTCTGAGCCTGTAGTATTTTCCCTTTCGTGTTCTGTGGTATCCTCCTAATGTCCCTAGTTAACAGGACCTCATCCATCCATCCCTGGGGTGTTCAGTGGCCTCGCAATCCACGTCCCCGCCCAGATCCGCAGCCTTCCTCCTGTGACCTGAGTGTCTCCTCCTCGCTGTCCCTGTTCTGTCCCCTCCCGCCCTCACATGCAGGTGGATGTCAATGCGTGCACGCACCCAGGTTTTCTTGCCTGTTCCCACCTCTTTATCCTCCTTGGCTGGTTCCTCCGCTCCATTCTCTGGCTCAGGAATTTGCTCCCCAGGGTTTTTCATTCCGCTCTGTAGCAGAATGTGCTACTGTTGCTTTCCAGCATCAAACTTTTCACTCCCATGGCCTCTGTGTTCTTCTTCCTAATGGGTGCCCTTTCTGCCTGGCGCTCCTGGAGGCCGGGCCCCTCTCCCAAGTGTGAATCTGATGGAAGCAGGTCCTTCTCGCCGGGACCTCATGTGAGAAATGACATGTCCCACCTGTCTCAAGGGGCCGCTCTCTGACATCAGAGCTGCTGTAGAGCGGAGAGGGGCAGGGGTGAAGGGCCACGGTGGTGCAACCCACCACTTCCTCCAAGGAGGAGCTGAGAGGAACAGGAAGTGTCAGGACTTTACGACCCGCGCCTCCAGCTGAGGTTTCTAGACGTGACCCAGGGCAGACTGGTAGCAAAGCCCCCACGCCCAGCCAGGAGCACCGCCGAGGACTCCAGCACACCGAGGGTGAGTGTGCAGAGGCCCCGCTATGTCCACGGTGATTTTTGGAGGGAAGCACTCTCCTGCCCCAGCCTGGAGTGACCCTGGTGGCCCTGCTTATAGCCCCGGCCCAGGGGTGTCTGGCAGGAAGGGGTCTCCAGACCGTCTGCTCCAGGGTCCCCTTTGAGACCCGGCAAGGGGAAGTGCCTGCCACCAAGAGCAGAGCCACATGGTGTGCTGGGAGCGCTTGCGGCTGAGGATGGGGCCGGCATGGGAGGACAAGGGGCTGTGAGGCCGGCAAGGCCAGGAAGAGGCTGGGCCCACAAGCCCCTAGGGGGACGGCTGGGGGGTCCTGGTGCTCCGGGCTGGGCAGGAGGCAGGTTCCCGGGGCCTCCTCTGTGAACCTGCTGCGCCTGCCTGTGTTAGGCCCTCCTGTCTGCATGCTGCCCCGCCTGGCTACAGCGATTCCATCTCCAGATCGACTCGCAGTGTGTGGTGTGTGATATGGTGTGGTGTGGTTCGTGGTGTGTAGTGTCGTGTGTGTAGTGTGGCATGGTGTGCATGTATGGTGCACGTGTGTGGCATAGCGTAGTGTGGTGTGTGTGTGTGCATGTATGGTGTGCGAGTGTGCGCATGTGATGTGGGGAGTCTGTTGTATGTACATGTATGGTGCACATGTGTAATGTAGTGTGGTGTGGTGTGGCACATGCTCCATGCTCCTCTGGGACCCTCGAGCTTCCCTGCCTCCTCCGTGGGGACCCCTGGGTGACGTCTTGCTGTAGGGGAGCGGGCACCGCTGTGCGATTCTGGTCGAGTTGGTTCAGCTGGTGACCCTGGCCTCCCCACAACAGGCTCCTGGAGGCCATTCCCAAGGTCCTGGTGGGAGGGGGATTGAAGCCACGCCCCTGGGTCCCAGGCCCACCTGGCCCCCTTCCCCCAACACTGCACTCTTGGGGCCAGCCCTCCCCATGCATCCTCCACCCCTGGCACCACCCCTTGCACCACCGTCCCCACACCCAATCCCCCCTCCCCTGGATCTGGGAGCTGGGATTCTGCCCTGCTGTCCCTGTCCATCCGGGGCCCCTCTCCTCTGTCAGTTCCTGGGTGGGGAGAAGGAGGGGTGGCATGGCTGCAATGGGGAAGGGGGGGGATGGCCGGAGAGCTCAGCCTGGGAGCGAGCTGTGGGGGCATAGGGGACACTCGCTGTCACTCGCCTTCCCCGTGACGGTGGCGCAACGCCTGCGGGTTTGGGGGCTGAGGCCGGATTCTGGAGGCTTCACAGAAATGAGCTGCTAGAAGCTCTGGGCTGTCTGCCGTCACCCCAGCGTTTCACCATGAGTGAAGCCCAGCTCACTGCAGAATCCATGCCCAGCTCACTGCAGAATCCCCGGGGGCCAGCACTTTACCAAGAGTGGCCTCCAGACTCCACATTTTAGGAAGGAACTCCTTCCCCATCCAGCTCACAGCAGAATCCCCAGGGTCCCTGCCAGCCTGGCACCCAGCGTGCCCCTCAGTATTCTGGGGATGAGTGGGGGAGTCCCTCTGCTGGGAAGAGGTCCCTGGCTACGTCCCTGCAGGGCGGCGGCTGAGCCCATGCCTCGGCCCCAGGGCCAGTCCCCGCCGGGTGCCATCCTGAGCAGGGCCACAGAACAGATGTCCCACATGGCCAGGACCCCTGTGGCCACCTGACCCCGGGGGGGCTGTGGCCCTCGGTGAAGCAGGTGACCGGGCGGGCTGTGGGGTTTGTCAGCTCCGCAGCGTCACTGCCGCTCAGCGTATGAGTTTCCACTCCCAGCACTCAATGAACAGCTGAGCAACTGCAGGTGCCTCCGAGTGCTGGGAGAGGGGAATGCTCAGCTCCGAGTGCTGGGAGAGGGGACGCTCAGCTCCGAGTGCTGGGAGAGGGGACGCTTAGCCACCCAAGGGCCTTTGCCTCAAGGGAGTAAATAGGGGCATTTCCTGGTGGGCGTGGGCTGGGCTGGAGAAGCAGGGCCTCCTGGCAGGGGCTGGCATGAGATCCAAACACTGCCCAGGCAGCTGGACACTCCTGAGCCTGGAGCTTCTCACCTGAACCACAGGGTGGTAACCCCTGCCCCTCAGGCGGCATCGACGTGACCTGCCTAGTGCACAGTGAGCCTGAGGCAACACGGCCACCACCAGGAGACTCCCTGGGGAAGAGGCCCCCAGACAGCGAGGTGCCCATGAAGGAAGTTCTGCACAGGGGCCGCGGCCATCCAGGAGATGGGAGGGGCCCTATCTGCACCCTGTCTGGAAGGGGCATGGGGTGAGCAGGCTATTTGGTCCCCCGTGACTCAGTTTCCCCATCTGTGAAACAGGAGGGGTGGTCTGGCCAATTGTGCGCACTCCAGCTGTCTCTATAGTCAACCGTGTAACTTGAACTCACTTCCCCAGGGCTCCTGCCAGGCCCAGGTCTGTCCACTCTGGCCCAGGCCGGGCCCCACCAGGTACCAGGGCTGTGGGACATTTGCCTCTGTGGATGGGGCAGCGTGACGCCTGTGGCGATTCCATGGAACAGGTCCTGTGTGGGCCCCCCTTGCTGCACTCGTGTCCTGTGTCAGAGAACCGTGGTCCTGCCTGAGGCCATGTCACCGGAGGCTGGCTCCCGTTCCCGGAGGAGAATGCCAGCTGCCACAGGGGTCAGTGACACAGGCATTTGCCCAGCAGGTACAGGCCAGGTCGCTGGGAAGCCCCAACTCAAGGGGCTCTGCAGTGGGCGCCTAGCAATTATGGAGCTGTGGGTGATACCCACCCCAAGCCGGACCTGGTGCCAGCAATTATCCCTCCCATTCTGCTTGGCACAAACTGGCACTGACACGGGGCATTGATTAGGTGGTTGCATTTGTCGATTCCGAGCCCATGTGTGTGGAGCCCAGGCCCTGAGCAAGCACAGAGGGCCCTGGTGCTGTCCTGAGCTGAGGCCCCTGCCCACCCCGGGCTGCGTGTTCTCTCCGGCCATTCAGGGTCTGAGAGTGCAGAAGAGTTAGCCCCAGGGGAACACCTTCCTGCCCAGCTGATTTGTAAACAGCCTCGCTGGGGACACATGTTGGTGTTGGGAGTGGTGGAGGTTTCTGTGTGTGATGGAAACTTGGGGTAGGTGTTGGGGAAAAGAGGTGCTGAGAGTCTCAGCAGAGGGCAGAGTCCAGGAGTCCTGGAGTGCAGCTCTCAGCCCCTGCGCCGTGCCTAGAGGAGAGGCTGGCAAGCCCCTGTCCCATGGATGGGTGAATGGGTGAGTGACAGTGGCAACAAGCCCATGCCAGCAGGGAGGTCCCACTGCCATGAAGCAGCGTCCTCATCAACGTCACAGTGGGAACAAGAAAGCCAGTAGCTTTGGAATCCGAAGGAGCAATTTCAGCATAATTCGTCGGCCACCATGAAATTCCATTTTTAAAATGTCCTTTATTCATTTATCACAAAAAGGGTGGAAAATACAAACAGGAATAATGAAAATTGAAAATACTCATAGTGCCACCACCCAGAGAAATGCAGAATATTTTGGAACTGTGTCTCTCTTTTTTTCCCCATAAATTCACTTTTACCACGAAGCCAAGCTGCCCTGAGCAGCTGTTTGCATGTTTTCGTTGCTGTGTGGGACTCCATAGCGCAGGCACCGAAACCGCCAAAGCATCTTACACGTTGACGGCTACACAGGGAATCAAGATATTTTGGCTGAAATCCCTGGTTCTTTCCTGGGGTGACTCATATGTTTCTTAGCCAGTTTTCTTCCTTCTTTTGTGAATTACCTGCTCAGGGTGCCACACCCTTGAAACATCCTTGAATGGAGTATTTACCTTTTTGTTATTAATTTCTAAGATCTCTTTAGAGATGAAGATTACCATTTACCTTTTGCACTAGAGAGATAATAGCTATTTCCTCTATGCAATTTGTTAGTACAACATGTGCCATTTTTAGAGTCTGTCTTCTTGCTATTTTCCCCCTTAGCTTTTTTTTTTTTTTTCTTTTGAGACAGTTTCACTCTTGTTGCCCAGGCTGGAGTGCAGAGGTGAGATCTCAGCTCACTGCACCCTCTGCCTCCCGGGCTCAAGTGATTCTCCTGCCTCAGCCTCGCGAGTAGCTGGGATTACAGGCGCCCGCCACCAAGCCCAGCTAATTTATGTATTTTTAGTAGAGATGGGGTTTCACTATGTTGCTCAGGCTGGTCTCAAACTCCTGACCTCAGGTGATCCGCCTGCCTCAGCCTCCCAAAGTGCTGGGATTACAGGCATGAGCCACCATGCCCGGCCTCCCCTTAGCTTTTATGCTGAGGTTTCCTTACTCTTAGATACCTATTCTTCTATTTCCTTTATTGTTTTATTCCCTAAAACTGAAGTCCTACACATTTGTGGCCATTCTTTTATGTCCACAGCAAGAGTGTCCGGGGCCTCGGCCTCACGTCGCCACCCAGGAACAGACAGTCTCCTTCATGTTAGATGGAGGAGTGGTGTCCCCTTGTCTAAAATGCTGTAAATATCATTTGATTTCCCTTTGACTTCAGGTATTTAGCAGAGTACTTTAGCATTCCTTATTAATATGTGTGTGTCGGGGGGGTGGGGTGTCTCATTTTATTTCATTTGGCCAGAAATTGTGGCCTTTAAAATTTGTGCTATCAGGCCGGGCGCAGTGGCTCACGCCTGTAATCCCAGCACTTTGGGAGGCCGAGGCAGGCGGATCACGAGGTCAGGAGTTCGAGACCAGCCTGGCCAATATGGTGAAACTCCATCTCTACTAAAAATACAAAAATTAGCTGGGCCTAGTGGTGTGCACCTATAGTCCCAGCTACTCAGGAGGCTGAGGCAGAAGAATTTCTTGAACATGGGAGGCGGAGGTTGCAGTGAGCCGAGATCTAGCCATTGCACTCCAGCCTGGATGACAGAGTGAGACTCCATCTCAAAAAAACAAACAAACAAACAAAACTGTGCTATCAAACTTCACAGATAGTCAAACCAACAGTAGGAACACGTCTCCCTGACCCTTGGGAAAATACGCTTTTGCAGGGTCGCAGGTTCAGAGGCGACATGGGCTGGGTTTTCCTGCATCCTCTCTGCTCCGACTTGTTCCTATTTGATCTGACCTGTTTTTGTCCCTGGATTTCCTGGAGCCTCTGTGATCCAAGGACAGTGTTCCAGTCCCCACCTGACGGCACTTCTCTCCAGTTCTTTATCACATTCCTACAAAGCAGAAATGAGTCCATCTTGATGCTCTGGCTTTTGGCTTAAAAGGTGGATGCCTAGTTTATAATCATCCCTTGAGCCTTCAGTTCCCAGCGCAGGGGTTGGCTCCCATGTCCTCTTCCTTCCAACCTTGTCCCCTGGCGGCATCGTCCATCACTTCCCGCGCACCTCCGAGTCACTTTGATGCGAGTGCCTCTCCTCTAGGACAGCGCAAGGTGGGTTTCAGCACAGGCAGGAGGAAGCTCTGATGCAAAGTTCCAATGGGTCTGCGGGGCCTCTGGTTCCTCAAGCAGTCTCGTCTTAGGGTTTTACGGGGTTGCAAAAAGGAAGCCTGAGACTGGGCACGGTGGCTCACGCCTGTAATCCCAGCACTTTGGGAGGCCGAGGTGGGCGGATCATGAGGTCAGGAGATCGAGACCATCCTGATCAACACGATGAAACCTCGTCTCTACTAAAAACACAAAAAAATTAGCTGGGCGTGGTCGTGGGAGCCTGTAGTCCCAGCTACTCAGGAAGCTGAGGCAGGAGAATGGCATGAACCTGGGAGGCGGAGCTTGCAGTGAGCTGAGATCGCGCCACTGCACTCCAGGCCGGTGACAGCGCAACTCCGTCTCAAAAAAATAAAAAGGAAGCCTGACCCCGCTGGATTCCTCTCCCAGCATAGGCTCTGCCCTCTCTCTGCTGTCTTGCTTAAAGTTTCCTTTCTTTTTCTTTTCTTTTTTTTTTGAGACAGGGCCTCGTTCTGTCAACTAGGCTGGAGTTCAGCAGTGCCATTAGGGTTCACTGCAGTCTCTCCCTCCTGGGCGCGAGTGATCCTCCTGCCTCAGCCTCCTGAGTAACTGGGACTAGAGATGCATGCCACCATGTCTGGCTAATTTATTTTCTATTTTTATTTTTTGTAGAGGTAGGAGTCTCACTGTGTTGCCCAGGCTGCTCTCAAACTCCTGGCCTCAAGTGATTCTCCTGCCTTGGCCTCTCAAAACACTGGGATTGCAGGCGTCAGCCACCAGGCTGGCCTCTTCCTTTCCTGTGTTTGCTCCTGTTCTCCTGTCCTCGACTTCTGTGAAAGGGTGTGTGTGATTTGGCCCGGATCTGCTGCAGGTCTCTTCTGACGCCGCTTTCGTGTCTCAGAGCCTGAATGTTCAGAGCTTTGCTCACCGTGAAGTGTGGTTCTTGTTAGCTGTGTCCATTTGGTGCCCGGGAGGGAAGGGCGCCCGGCCCCTGAGGGGTTCTCCGGGGAAGGATGACCTCGTCCCCCTGGTCCTGCCCCCTCAGCCCCCTGCTTCCCCTGTGCAGGGGACTTGGTGACAGGTACCACTTCCTGCAGCTGGGCTGGGGTTGCACCAGCACTTCCTTCTCGGGCAGGGTTGAGGTCAAGGGCGACTCTGATGCAAGGTTCTGAGAGGCCTGTGGGGCTGTGGATTCCTAAGCAGCCTCAGCTTTGGGTTTTGCACCTTAGGTCTTGGTAAGGGGACCCGCCCGCCCTTAGATGGGGGATGTCCAGAGCTGGAGGATGAGGAGGGCACCCGCCCCTGGTGTGGGGCAGCAGGGAGGGCCTTGGAGAATGAGGAGGGCACCTGCCCCCAGTGTGGGGCAGCAGGGAGGGCCTCAGGGTGATCAGGCTCCAGGCCAGAGCTCTGGGGCCAGCTCAGGGGCTGGGGTGGGGGGTGTCTGTGCTCTTCCTCCCCTCCTGCCCTGCAGCTCTGCCGGCTTAGCCTCAGGGCACCAGAGGTGACAGTGGCCAGGCACCTGTTTGCCCGAATGCTGCCCTACATCTGTGCCTTACCCATTCCCATCCCCCAGGGAGCTGGCACAGGCCCTTCGACCACCTCCAGGCACATGGAGGAAACTGAGGCAGATAGGCCTGATGGGGTCTTGGTCTCTCAGGCCTCAGGTGAGGCCCTGGACCTCCGTGGGCCATCCTGGCTGCTGGGCAGAGGGGCTGCCCTGCCCTGTTCTCCCACAGAAGGGAGGCTGGCTGCCAGGCTCAGTGCACTGCCTTACCTCCTGGAGCGGACCTTCATCCCCAGCTGTTTGTCTGGGCTCAGCCACTGGCATTGGGGGGTGGGGCAGGGCCTGGCTTCTCTTGTGCCCCCAGCTCCAAGCCCCCCAGGGCTGCTCATGGAGGAGCAACAGTGGGGAGAAGGTGGCTCCCCACCAGCCCCCTTCCTGTGGTCAAGGTTGGGGTGCCGTGGTCTCTGAGCCAATCCTGCTGGAATCAAGGTGCACCCCCTCTCCCTGTGGGCAGGTGGGAGTGCCCGGGGTAACTGGGCACCAGGTCCATATCTTGCTGCTGCTGGGGCCCTCAGTTTCCCCATTTGAGGGTATGAAGTGTTTGCATGCCACTGGTCACGACTGTGTTAGGGGCGGAGACCTCATGTCTGCGGCCCCAGGGAGAGCGTGGAGCTGGGGTGTGAGTCCTTACCAGCCTGGCTGGGGCTGCCAGGGGAGGTCTGCACCCCCTCCCCACTTGGCGCAGCTGCGACCTGGGGGAGTCCTGAAGCCGGCTGGACCCTGCACCCTGGGGGAGTCCTGAAGCCGGCTGGACCCTGCACCCTGGGGGAGTCCTGAAGCCGGCTGGACCCTGCACCCTGGGGGAGTCCTGAAGCCGGCTGGACCCTGCACCCTGGGGGAGTCCTGAAGCCGGCTGGACCCTGCACCCTGGGGGAGTCCTGAAGCCGGCTGGACCCTGCACCCTGGGGGAGTCCTGAAGCCGGCTGGACCCTGCACCCTGGGGGAGTCCTGAAGCCGGCTGGACCCTGCACCCTGGGGGAGTCCTGAAGCCGGCTGGACCCTGCACCCTGGGGGAGTCCTGAAGCCGGCTGGACCCTGCACCCTGGGGGAGTCCTGAAGCTGGCTGGACCCTGCACCCTGGGGTAGCTCCAGCACGCACAGGGCCTCCGATCAGCTGAGGGGCTGGTGGGCACTCGTGGCACCGAGGTCAGTCCAGGCGCAGGACTTTGAGGGGGCCCAGATGGAGAGCTGGAACTGGCCTCGGCCTGAACCACAACCCCCAACGATCAGAGATATGGGGGCTTTCAGACACAGGGTGGGCCCAATGTGAACCAAAACCACCTCCTCCAGGAAGTTACAGCAGGGTGCAGGTTCTGTTTTTGACCCCAGGACGGGAAGGATCAAGGGTTCCCTTTTGACATTTTTGTATTCTGATTATAATTTTGCTGGGAACCAGGGAATGAGGTCACTGCCAAAACAACAGGACCTTGGGGCTTGTTGGGGCGTCTAAGCTGTGGGATCCTCAGATGGGCCCCTGGTGGGTGTTCCGTTGGCCTCAGAGCCCCCAGCACAGGTGCAGGGCTTTCGGGGGATGGAGGGGAGCCAGGGCCTGTGGCTGAGGGCACCCGAGCCTCCCGGGCCACAGCACAGCACCCAGCGCTGTCTTCAAAGCCGGCAGGCCCTAGTTTGGGGCTCTGCTGGCTTGGGTCTGCCCACTGAACCTTGGGTGGCCCTGCCAGCACCACCCGAGGGAAGGGTGTGGGGCAGGAACGCCCCAGCAGCCTGGGAGGCCGTGACAGGAACTGGCATTTGCTGGAGGAGGTGTGTTGATCTTTGCTTCTGACAACAGCCCCAGGGTAACGGAAATGTCTTCCTGCCCACCATGACAGGAAGGCTCCTGGGTACCCCTTCTCAGTACCTCTCCACCTTCTTGGTGCCAGATAAAAGGGTCCCAGCCAGCTATAATGTTCTCAGGTCCTGGGAGGTCAGACCCAGGGGCCCACCCCACCTAGGAAGCCCTAAGACCCCCCAAGGAGCCGACCTAGGCCTGGTTTGGGCACCTCCCGGATGGAGGGAAGGGAACCCAGGGGTGGAACGGCCCTGCTGCCCGCTAGGAGGTGCTGCCGGCCTCCAGCACCAGGCTGAGGCCTGCTTCCGTCATTTTGCCTCTGGGGCCGAGGGCCTGTGAGTGACCACTGAGCCGCCCCTGGCTGTGGATGCGTGGGTTAAGGACGGGGTGGGTGTGTATCTGGAAACAAAAGGGCAGGACCCCGGCAACTGGTGGCTTGGGCAAGTCAGGTGACTTTTTTTCCCACCTGGCAGGGACTGCAGGGCTCCTGGGCAGGCCTAGCACACAGCTTGGCACCCGCGGGCATCAAGCCAGCTTTCTCTTCCTGGCACACAGCCTGGCACCCGCGGGCATCCAGCCAGCTTTCTCTTCCTGGCTATGTTTCTGCCACAGAGAGACAGGGCCAAGCCCAGCTCTCCTCCAAGCACAGGCTCTGCTCACGGAGGACCTGGGGCACACTGGGGCAGAGTGCACACACCGGGTGTGTGGGGTTCTGGTGTTTGTGTGCGTGTACATTTGCACGTGTGTATGGTGTGTGCGTGTGGTGTGTGTGTCTGTGTGGTGTGTATGTGTGTGTACGTGTGCATGTGTATATTTGTGTGTGGTGTGTAGTGTCTTGCGGGGAGTATGGTGTGGGTAAGGGGTGTATACATCTCTGTGTGTACATATGTGTGGTGTGATGCATGTATATGTGTGGTGTGTGCATGCACGTGGTGTGTACATGCAGTCAGGCACACATCTGTATGCACGTACACGTGCATGTGTGGTGTGTGTACACGTCTGCATGTGTGTGTGTGCCTGTGTTGTGTGCCTCTGCAGGGGCCCGCTGCAGCTGTCCTGGGTGCCTGGCTGAGCAGGTGTGCTGCCCGCACTGCTGAGCCCGGGATCCCTCCCTCCCTGGCTGTTGGCAGCTGGGCCCAGTGCAGCTGTGCTGGCCTGACCCTAACCCACCCCCTGCAGCAGGGACAGGGCCCCAGCTCCTTGTCCCAGGCCAGCTGGAGGGGAGCTTCATGGGTGGTCAGCCCCAGGGGTTGGGCCTGAGACCGTCACCAAGACCCCTTCCCTCCACAGGACATGCTGGGCCTGCGCCCCCCACTGCTCGCCCTGGTGGGGCTGCTCTCCCTCGGGTGCGGTGAGTTCTGTGTTCCACGGAGGGGACTCCACGCGTGACATTCCAATCAGGGAGAACAGGGCCTGCCCTCACTTTCCCATAGACAGAAGTTCCCGGGAGGCTGGGGAAGGACCTTGCCACTGGGGGTAGGTCGGGGACTCAGGCCTCGTCTCCGCACGTGCCAGGAGGCTGTAGCTGTGCTGTTTCCCGAGGGCCCCTCTTTGCACCTGGGGGTGGTGGCGAATGCGGGGTCTCCTCCTGGAGGCTGCCTCCCTGTCTTTTTGGGCCTCCTCTGACCTTCCTGCTCTACTCCCCCTTGGGTGTGGGCAGGGCGGCCCAGAGCACCCACTCACCAGCCGGCCTCGTCCCTCAGTCCTCTCTCAGGAGTGCACGAAGTTCAAGGTCAGCAGCTGCCGGGAATGCATCGAGTCGGGGCCCGGCTGCACCTGGTGCCAGAAGCTGGTAAGTGCCTCCTGGACCCCTCCCCACCTGCCCAGCTCCTGGGTGAGGGCCCTTTCCTGCCCCTGAAGCCAGTGGCACCCAGAGGACCAACAACTCCATTTTCTTTTTGAGGGGGTCCCCAGACCCTGGCCTCACCCTCCCCTCAAGGGGCCCCTGAGGTTCTGATGTGTGGTCTGTTTGGAAACACACACAGAACACACACTTGTATTTTTTCTCAGCCATTTCCGAGTAGGTTGTAGACATGGAGCCCTTTGTCTCTTAGTACTTCAAGGGAGGTCTTTCTTAAGAACAAGGTTTTCACTTACAAAACTACGTAAGCAAGTGCAGAAACACGCGCGCTTCTGGCCCCGCATCGCCAGCACGCTTTCCTGCAGAGTCAGCAGGTTTGGGGCCAGTGACGGGACCCACCAAACACAGCCCTTATCAGAATCCAGGGGCTTTGCAGGGACAAGGTGGCCAAGAGGAAATGTACTTTGATGTAAATGTATTTTGATACATGTATATCTATATTTGATAAATTCATGTATCAAATTCAGGAAATTCAGCATTGGTATCTCATTATCATCAAACCTACACACTACGCATATTTTATTGGTTGTCCCAATGATGTCTTCGTGAGCATATTTTCCTGGTGGATTTTGTCACCCAGGCTCACCCTGTGCTCAGCTGTCTCAGGCTCAGAATCTCCTCACTCAGGCTCACCCTGCACTCAGCCATCTCAGGCCCCAAATCTCCTAACCCAGGTTCACACACTGCGCTCAGCCGTCTAACGCTCTGAATCTCCTCACCCAGGCTCGCCCTACGCTCAGCCGTCTCCTTGGGCTTCTTGAATCTGGACAAGTCCTCAGCTTTCTTTGTCTTTCCTGTCCTTGGGCGTTTCTGAGGAAGTCAGGAGAGCAGCTTTGTAGCATGACCCTCGGGGGTCTTGTCTGGAGTTTCCTCTGCCTGGACTCAGGTGTGCTTTGGCAGGAGCCCCTCAGTGACGGTGTCCTAAGTGCCCATGAGAGGCACTGCTGTGGCCCCGTCCCAGTCTTGATGAGGTCAGCGTGGACGGCTCTGCTGAGACGGCATCCCCCCGGCCTCCCCATCCCGCTGCATGATCCCCTCGCAGCCACTGTGGGCTGGTGAGGTTCTGCCCTCATCAAATCGCACCCGCAGGCTCAGCATCCGCGGAGGTCCCCGCCTGAAGCCGCCATCACTGCGATGGCTGCAGATTGGTGCCGTGCTGGTCCCCGCCTGCCACTCACGGCTGCCAACCTAAGGAAGGGTCTCTCCTTCTCTGCAGCCTCTCTCTCATCAGCGTGACCCACAGTTTTATTTTGTTCAGTAGTGCATGATCTGTGGCTGTCCTTTCTTCCCCGAGTTGCTCAAATCCGCTGGGTCTGGCTGCGTGTCCTGTCCATGCATCCCCGTTCTACCGTTCTGAGCACTTTCTTGCTTTCTGGAGCAACATGATGCTGCAGGCCCATCTCCATGTCCCTTGCCCCAGCCTGGAATCAGATGGTTTTCTGACGGCTCGGGTTCCTTTCCCTGAGAGTCTGGGCTCCAGCACCGTTGTAGCCGGACAAGCCGCAGACAGAATTCCTCAGACACTCGGTTAAAGAAGGAAGGGCTTTATTTGGCCAGGAGTGTCAGCAGACTTGCGTCTTAAGAGCCGAGCTCCCCGAAAAAGAAATTCCTAGCCCTTTTAAGGGCTTACAACTCTAAGGGGTCCACATGAAAGGGTTGTGATAGATAGAGCAAGTGTGGGGAACTTGACTGGGGGTTACATGCATCAGCTGACAGAACAGAAAGTTTTGCAATGCTTTTTCATACAATGTCTGGAATTTACAGATAACACCAGTAGTTTTGGTCAGGGGTTAATAATAATAATAATAATAATATTATTAGTTTAACCACCAGGGCCGGGTGGTGGCGCCAAGGTCATCTGGCTATTTATCTTACTTCTGTTTCTTTCCAACTTTTTGCTTTCTCTCTTTTCTCCTGTCTTATAAACTAGAGAAGGGGAGGGGGTGGAGAAGAAGGGGAGGGCAGCAGGAGAAGTGGTGTCTCATTCCTTACCGTCAGCAGCTTCCTCATTTCTCAATTTTGCGTCCCACAGGGAGCGGCTTTGGGTCCTCCAGCCCACGCCACCGCGGCGAGCAGTCCCCGGAGGAGAAGCCGGGTGGCTCCCGTCTGTCCTCGGACTGAGCAGGGTGGCCAGGCCCCAGGTGGAAACTACCTTGGTCAGGCTGGGTTTTTTCCCTCCCCTTTCTGGAGGTTTTCAGCTCCTCTGAAATAAACACCTTTCAGTGAGATTTGTTTGTTTCTGTGTGGATTACATTTAGGCTTTCTTTTCTCTCTTGCTGGGATACTTGCTGATGTACTTTTATTTCTGGAGGACTTCTTTAAAAAATTCTGTGGTTCCAAAAGTCAGAGCCCTACAAAGAGGCACCCTGGGGACTGTCGCCCTCCCCTCCCACCTGCCCCCCTGCCTGCGGGACTCACCAGCCTCTGGGGGCCGGGCTTATCCTCCTGAGCTTCCCTCTACGAAAGCAAGTGCACAAACACGCGCTTCTGGCCCCGCATCACCAGCACCCTTCCCTGTAGAGGCAGCAGGCTCGGGGCCAGTGACGGGACCCACCAAACACAGCCCTCATCAGAATCCAGGGGATTTGCAGGGACAAAGTGGCTGAGAGGAAAGCGCCCTGGGCCCAGGCCTCCCAGGCTCCCCTCCAGCTTTTGTTCTTCTAAACTTTGAGGGGCTTGGCCCAGAACCCTGCCCATGTTCTGGGTTTCTTGGGGGCCTAGGGACTGCCACGTTCCTTTGGGACACAGCAACTCCCTTGGACAAAGGTTCTGCTGATGAAGGGCTTGAAGCCCCTGGGCCAGCTGCTAGAGGACGCTGAGGCCTCTCCTCTTGGGTCAGCCTCGGGCTGGAGAGTAGGTCCTGAGTCCTTTCTGCCGCTAGAGGCAGAGGAGGAGGCGATACCCTGCCCCCCAGGGGTCTGCTGTGGCCGGGAGCCTTCAGGGAGGGGCTGTCTGGGAGGCTGAAGGAGCTCCCTGTCTCTGTCCACAGGGACTTCTGTCCCAAATTCCAGGCGCAGAGGAGGAGGGGACAGGGTGGGTCCTCAGTCCTCCATGGCCAGTCAGCCTCCTGCAGGTCCCGCAGTGTGGCCCCCTCCTGACCCCTGACTCCCCCTCCCCAGAACTTCACAGGGCCGGGGGATCCTGACTCCATTCGCTGCGACACCCGGCCACAGCTGCTCATGAGGGGCTGTGCGGCTGACGACATCATGGACCCCACAAGCCTCGCTGAAACCCAGGAAGACCACAATGGGGGCCAGAAGCAGCTGTCCCCACAAAAAGTGACGCTTTACCTGCGACCAGGTAGGCTTGGCCTCGGTGGTGGTGCCAGGCACCGTCTGTGCTGGTTATTGGCTCTGGCTGGGAGTCCGGCCCTGCTCTGGGGTGTCAGGGCTGCCCAGAAGGCATGTGTCCGGGTCGGACGGGTGTGTGGGCCAGTGAAGCCCCAAGGCTGCTGGAAAGCTGAGCTCCTCAGTGCCCTTCCGCTCTGTCCCCAGGTGGAGCTGCCCCAGCCCTTACCATCGGTGCCCAGTGTCTGCACTCTCTCGCAGCCCGACGTTCTGCACCTTTTTTTTTTAAAGGGAGACCAAACCATTTGCAAAACACTATTCCATTACACACTCAGAAGGCCAGGGTACTCTTAGAAGAGTAAAGGCTCTGATCAGTCTTGCAGCCAAGAGACCTAAGTAACTGTTTAAACCAGTGTTGCCCAAACTGACTTGACCAGAGCACCTGTTTCGACTTGACCAGAGCACCTGTTTCAGAACACAGTCCCCTGTCAGTGCTTTGAGAAACGCCCTCCTTATCGGTGGCTCACGCCTGTAATCCCAGCACTTTGGGAGGCCGAGGCGGGTGGATCACTTGAGGTCGGGGGTTCGAGACCAGCCTGGCCAACATTCTCCTGCTGCGGCAGGAGAATCACTTGAACCTGGGAGGCAGAGGTTGCAGTGAGCCAAGATTGTGCCACTGCACTTTAGCCTGGGCGACAGGGCGAGATTCTGTCTCAAAATGAAAAGAAAGGAAGGGAAGAGAAGGGGAGGGAAGGGAGGGAGGGAAGGGAGGGAAGGGAGGGAAGGGGAAGGGAGGGAAGAAACGAAGCTCCCTCCTTGCTCCAGGAAGGCAGGTGTGGTGGTGCAGCAGATGGGAGAAGGAGGCCTGGTGTGGCCACCGACCTGTGACCTCCCAGGCCACAGTGAGGCCAGGGAAGGAAGGGGAAGCCATCTCCCAGGGAGAGGGTGCAGACGGGGCCAGGGTGACTTTAGAGGAACCAGCTGGTGTCGGACAGGCTGGGGCTCAGAGCTCTGCCCTCAGGGGAAGCCCAGGTCAGCGGCCACTGAGTTAGCCTTGGGGCAGAGTGGCCCAGGGTGCAGGCGGCCAGGTGACAGCCAGCAGCAGCCGGGAGGGAGGCAGCTGGGAGACAGTGAGGGATGGGGCCGAGCCATTGGGGAGGTCCTGCAGGAGCAGGGCCCAGGTGTCCCTGGGGGCAGCAGGGGACAAAACCCCACCCTGGTGGTAGGGTCAGGCCTGCCCCTCGCTGCCCCGTGAGCAGGCACAAGCCCCTTCGTGCTGGAACCTCCACCTCTGACCTCAAACTCGAGGGCCTGGCCCTGTGGCCCCTGGAGGCAGCTCTGATGTATTTTCCCCACGCCCCACTTCACAGTGAGGAAACTGAGGCTGACAGAGGTGTTGCCTGTGGCCAGAGTTTGTGCAGCTCTGTGGTGCTGGAGGTGTCAGGAAGGATCGTCCTGGAGGGTGGGGGTGCGCCTGAGTGGGGGCATCCTTGTGCCGTGGGGAAGGGTGGGGGAGTGGCTGCCCACGGCCTGGCATGCATCCCCACTGTGCAGGGGGCAAATGCTGTGGCCTCTGGGAGGGCACAGGTGAGCTCGGGTGGATGCAGGTGAGGGTAGGCAAACTCGGGTGAGCACCAGGGAGAGATCTTAACAGCACCCCAGGGCCACAGGCTCCCAGAGCAGGGCGGCAGGATCTGGGAAGGGACTGTCCTCTCGCGGGGTCCTGGCCCTACCCCCGCAGCCTGCTGGCCCTTCGCTGAGCCTCTACTCTGGAAGGGAAGGGACGGGGCCCCTTGGTCAGCCACCAAAGGCCTATGTCTGTGCCCTTTGACTGCAGCATGGCCACATTGCTCGTGGGGACATGGTCTTGGCTGCCTCCTCCATGTCGCTGCAGACGCCGCACGGCCCCCAAAGCCAAACACATTTACTGTCTGGCCCTTCATAGAAAGTGATTGGGGTCCTTGGCCCAGAGGCCAAGTGAAGCCTCTGAGGGCTGCAAGGCACAGCAGGGCGAGGGCCAGGGCCAGGAGTGCCGGGTGTGAATGTGGGTGAGTGTGTGTGTGTGTGAGCGCATGTGTGTGTGGTGTGTGTGTATGCATGGTGTGTGTGGTATGTATGTGTTTAGCATTGTGTGGGGTGTGTGTATATGTGTGGCACGTGTGTGTATGGGTGTGAATGCATGTGTGTGGCATGTGTATATGTGTGTGGCATGCATGTGTATGTGAGTGCATGTGTGTGGTGTATGTGCGTGAGTGCATGTGTGTGTGTTTGGTGTGTGTATGTGTGTGCGAGTGTGTGTGCGTGCATGTGGTGTGTTTGTGTATATGAACAAGTACATATAGTATGTGTGCTTTGTGTCTGGTGTTGTGTATGAGTGTGAGGTGTGTGTGTATGCGTGCATGTGTGGTGGTTGGTGTTTGTGGTGTGTGTGCATATTTGTGGTGTGTTTGCTGTGTGTGGGTGCCATGTGCGTGTATATGTGGGTGCGTGTGTGCTACGTGTGACTGTGTGTGCATGAGTTATATTTGTGTGTGAGTATTGTGTGTGTGCATATATGTGGGTGTGTATGCCATGTGTGACTGTGTGTGCATGTGGTGTATTTATGTGTAGGAGTGCGTGTGTGTGTGTCTGTGAGGAGGGGCACATACCCTTTCTCCCAGGGTGTGGCAGCAGGCAGGTTGGGGGTGGAGTGGGCTCTGCACTTGTCCTGCCGCCCAGGGGGGCTGAAGGCTGGAGGGTGGGGCAGAGGGGACAGGCTTCGTCACCCTCCCTCCCTGCTCATTCATTAACATGATGTGTGTTTATGGAGAGCTGACTTGTACCAGGCACGGTTCTGGGAGCCAGGGACACAGGCTGGTTGCGGTGACAGGTAAACAGACAGCTACACAACCGCACGTGTGACTGAGACGCGGGCGAGCGGAAGTCCAGGGCTGGGATGGAGAAAGGGGCCTCCTGGGGACGGCCCGCGTGGGCCTTGCTGGGAAGTGCCAGGTTCGTGTGATGCCTGTCTATGTGGCTGCTGATGAGGGCGCCCGTGGGACTGCAGGCATGGGGCCGGGTTAGGTGTGAGCCCAGGTGAGCCGCTGCCACTCTCAATGAAAGGCGTCCCCAATGTCGCTGGCGTCAACTCTAAGCACCCCAGGCGGGTTTCAGTGTCACTGCGAGGCACATGCCTGCGTCCGGGAGTCATGTCCTTCCTCTGAAACTCCAGCCTGCCTGGATGTCCTGTGTCTGGTCCTCAGCTCTCCTGCCAGGCGGGGAGAGGGGAGGTCAGGAGGATTTGGGGGCTGGAGGAGAGGGTGCCAGTGCACAGCCCGCTCGGGGCCACACGCCCCCAGACACCCTGTGTGAGATGTGAGGTGTGGCTCCTTTTGTTCTGTCCCCACCGGCAGGCCAGGCAGCAGCGTTCAACGTGACCTTCCGGCGGGCCAAGGGCTACCCCATCGACCTGTACTATCTGATGGACCTCTCCTACTCCATGCTTGATGACCTCAGGAATGTCAAGAAGCTAGGTGGCGACCTGCTCCGGGCCCTCAACGAGATCACCGAGTCCGGCCGCATTGGTGAGGCCCAGGCACTGCAGGACAAAACCCAGTCCTTTCCCAGACCCTGGCCACTCCTGCCTGTGGCCCACACAACTCCTCGCACTCAGGTCCCCAGGGTAGATCTGGGGGCCCCAGATGCAGGTCCCCCCAGGGCATCCACAGGGCTGCAGTCGGCCTGCCTCCCTGCCAGGGGCCACACCCAGTCCCTGGCTCCCCAACACTTGTAGACATTGTCCAGCCCTCCACTTCCCCTTCCATCTTCTACTTCCTTTATTTATTTCTTGGTATGTTTAAAAGACAAAATTCTGACAGTGCCAATTATTAAACATTAAAGACCACAACACATATAGACGGCACAGCGACGGCAGCACTGAAGAAACCACACAGCAAGCTCTGCTGGGCCAAGGGCTCCGCTCTACACCAGCACTGCCTTGCCACAGAGCAGGTCTCCAGCACACGTGTGTGTCAGTCACAGCGCATGTCTTCCCCGCCGGCCGTGGCTTCTCACATCGGCACTCTGCCACCTTCCCTACATGCGGGGATGCACACATGCACGATAACACACACACACACAAGCAAATGCATGCTCACACAAATGCACGCTCACACACAAATGCACGCTCATGCACGTGAATGCACGCTCACACACAAATGCATGTTCACACATGCAATGCACACTCACACACAAATGCATGCTCAAACGCAAATGCACGCTCACACATGCGAATGCACACTCACACATGAATGTATCCTCACATGCACAAATGGATGCTCACACACGCGAATGCATGCTCACACACAAAAGCACACCCAAACTCAAATGCACACACACGTGAATGCATGCTCACACACGTGAATGTATGCTCACACACATGCTCAAACACACAAATGCATGCTCTCACATGTGAATGTATGCTCACACATGAATGTATGCTCACACGCAAATGCATGCTCACACACGCGAATGTATGCTCACATGCACAAATGCACGCTCACACACGTGAATGCACGCTCACACACAAATGCATGCTCACACACATGAATGCATGCTCACACTTGCATGTGCACACACATGCACACACAGTCATACACACGTGCAAGACCACATGTGCACACAGACATGCTCACATGCACACTCATGATCACCCATGTATGTCTTCACTCACATGTATAAATCGTACATAAACACACATGCCCACATATGTACCTGGTCACCTACGTGAACTAGGTGTGTCCATACCTGAACATGCTCACATGCATACAGGAATACGTGCACACACAGTTGTGCTACGCATGTACACACTCATGTTTACACATGCAGATGGCTGCACACACAGATACACATACGCACCTGTTCACATGCCCACATGTATACCTGGTCACACACATACATGCAGGAACACACATGCATACACTTATGCTCATCCATGTACATTGCACACTCCCAGGTTCACACACACGCCCACATACGTTCACATGTGTGCTTGCACAACGCACATGCTCACACACACACTCCACATGTGCCATCTTGCTTTCTCCACCTCCCTGCTAGGAGAGAGGAAACAGGCTTGCCCTCGTGCCCCTTTGAAGCTGGCCCTCCCACCTGGGCCCAGCCTGCCACCTCCCCAGCCCCTCCATGTGCCCTGCAGGCTTCGGGTCCTTCGTGGACAAGACCGTGCTGCCGTTCGTGAACACGCACCCTGATAAGCTGCGAAACCCATGCCCCAACAAGGAGAAAGAGTGCCAGCCCCCGTTTGCCTTCAGGCACGTGCTGAAGCTGACCAACAACTCCAACCAGTTTCAGACCGAGGTCGGGAAGCAGCTGATTTCCGGAAACCTGGATGCACCCGAGGGTGGGCTGGACGCCATGATGCAGGTCGCCGCCTGCCCGGTGAGGCCGCTGCCCCTGCTTGGGTCCCCACGTTCCCCCAGTGTGGGGGGCTCTGTCAGGCGCTGTGTGGGGGCAGGGGGGTACCCTGGCCGGCAGGTCGTCTGAGGGACTCCAGCCTGGGCCTGGGGAGAGCAGCTCCTCACCCTGCTGCTGCCCATGCAGGAAAGGGCAGGAGGAAGGGAGGGTGACCACGAGGGCTCGAAAATCATGCGCTGATTTCATTGTTTGCTGTGAGTTAAATTTGTGACCCTGGGCAAACCTTATGAAGCCTAAACATTTTGCGAGCGGCCAAGGGTGGAACAGGGCCGCTAGGCAGCAGGTCCCGTGGTTCCTGGGGTGGAACCACCCTCCTCCCTCCAGGCCGGGTGGGCGCTGGCTGCCCAGTGTGTGTCGCTCTCCACGTCCCGCCCACCCAGTTTGTGACTGTCAGCCTAACAGAGCAGCCACAGTCCCTGGGCCATGTTGAGGCCACATGCACTGTCCTCCCCTCACAACCCACCTTAGCTCTCCTGCTTCCCTGCAGTCCCAGCGCAGACACACTGCTCACGAGTGTGAGGTCACAGCCTAGGACACGCACGGCCCCCACATGCGCCTGCCAGGGGCTGTCAATGGTGGACTCAAGGCCTGCTGGGCCCCTCAGGCTCGTTTTCCTCCATGTTGCACTCGTTCTGCGTGTGGCCCACACGTCTGCGAGGGTTTTTCCCCTTGGGGATGGTTTCCTGAGGGTTTGTTCCCAGCTCTGAAGTGCAGGGACCGCAGCCGTGTCTCTCTCCTTGCCTTTCCACACGTGCCTCCACTCCCTGCGCCTCACATGTGCACGGGGTGTTTGAGGGCCGTTGTCTCCTCCTGGGCGTGGCGTCTGGGGGAACACAGCTGGGTCCCTGAGACCCAGGGGAAAGGGGGACCCACACCAGCCTCCGGGCCACCCCACCAGCTCTGCATCGTCTCCTCTGCTCCAGAGGGCCGGGTCTGGGAAACTGAGGCAGGTAACCCTGCCCCCCACGCCTTCTTCTCAGGAGGAAATCGGCTGGCGCAACGTCACGCGGCTGCTGGTGTTTGCCACTGATGACGGCTTCCATTTCGCGGGCGACGGGAAGCTGGGCGCCATCCTGACCCCCAACGACGGCCGCTGTCACCTGGAGGACAACTTGTACAAGAGGAGCAACGAATTCGTAAGTCCCCACCCCAGGCACCCAGGCACCGCCTGGCAGGACACCACTGACGGAGGAGACAAGGGTGGGGTCTCCACCTGACAGAGCCTCCTTCTGACCCAAGGAGCAGATTCCTGAGGAAACTTCTGGAAGCCCCAAGTGGCAGCGTGGGGTCTCCCCGGACTGGCCTCAGGCCAGGGGAGGGTAGGGTTGGTGGGGGCAGCCAGGCTGAGGCCCGGCCTCGCCCTTGTGGGACACCCAGGCTCTGTTGGTCTCCAGCCCCACTGCCCCCCTACCTGGGCTGACAGCTGCTGTGGAGGTATAGTAACCGCCCCCAGGCTACGGCTGCACCCTGCCGTCCCCGCCTCTGGCCAGGGTCCCATCCCCAAGCATCCGCCTCCTCCCCCTCCCGGCCTCCACTGTACGTTCCCTGCTGCCCCTGAGTCCGCCTCCTCCAGTGTGGCCCCTCCCTGCCCCCATTGCCTGAGCTGGGTGAGCGGCTGCGGGGACCATGAGGAACATGCAGGGAGGGACAGAGGCGAGAAGGAGCCCAGGATGCACGGGTTAGGATGAGCCTCTCTGCGGAGGCATCTCAATGGCTCAGAGGGGCCAGGACTTCTGGCTGGGATCAGCCGTGGGCCGAGAGGCAACCACTGGTCACAAGGGGCTTGTCCTCGCTGGCCGTAGTGCGACGCTCTTGCAGCCTGACGTTGTAGGCTCTGGGGGCCGCAAAGGACTTTAGAGATACAAGACTCAGGTCCTCCGCCGGGAGCCACAGACGGGAGGGACGGCCCTCGGGTCCCGGAACTCGGGTAGGGAGAGCCGCACCTGACACTCATGGCCTCTACCGAAACTGAGTGTCCCTCAGTGCGAAAGCAGGTCCACCGTGTGGGGAAGGCTGGGATTCTGCCCCCGTGGACATCCCCAGTCCCACGGTGAGACGCCTCAAATGCTGCTCATGCCTGGACTCTGAAAGCCCGAGTCTATGCACACATTGCCCAGAGGGCGTGGCAGCTCTCTGCCCTGCACTCCTGCGTGGCAGCCTCTGCCTCTCCAGCCTTCCCCAGAGAGGGTTCGAAGCACGGGCAGGGCTGACGCTGAGCGGGGCAGACAGGGGCGGGTACCTGGAAGCCTTGTCCTGGACTCGGGGCCAACTGAGCAGGACCTCCTCTCTCCAGGACTACCCATCGGTGGGCCAGCTGGCGCACAAGCTGGCTGAAAACAACATCCAGCCCATCTTCGCGGTGACCAGTAGGATGGTGAAGACCTACGAGGTGAGTGCTGTTGGGTCCCGAGCATCCATTGGGTGGGGGCATGTTTCAGCCACAGGCCAGACCCAGCGCCACTGCAGGTCTGAGCGCCACCTCTGCATGCTGGGCACGTGAGCAACCAGCCGGCCCAGGTCCTGGATCCCCCTAGGTGAGGAGCCCGAGGCTTCCCGTCGGGGACAGGACGCCTGCGTGTCGATAGGAGGAGGAATTCCTCCCCGTCCCTGAAACTCAGCTGTGTTAACAGCATGTCTTGGCATTGGTGATATTTCTGTTTTTTCCTGGAATACAACACAATTCTTTATTTTATGGAAACACACTTATTTTATGCTCACATACATTTGAACATCAACACTCTCCGTGAAGATAAAATTACACAAAAACGTTCACAAGCTTGGAGTGCGGAGTGGGATGAATTTCACGAAGGAAGCACAGCTGATAACCAGCCTCTGCTCCTAGAAAAAGAGGCCCCCAGTGAAACACGTTCATCCTGCATTTCCGCTGCTAGTGCCATGTGTTCAGCCTGAGCAGGTCAGTGCGTCAAGACGCTCAGGTGCTGTTGGGGTTCCCAAGACCTTTCTCAGGATCAGTGATTTGCCGGAAGGACTTGCAGAGCTCAGGAACCAGTAAACTCACAGTTACAGTTTATTGCAGAGCCGACCCTCCTGGGTGCCAGCCGCTGCCCGAGGTGGGAGGATACAGACAAAAGTCAGCAAAGGTCAAAGGTGCACAGGAGAGAAACCAGGCACCAGCTCCCAGTGTCCCCTCCCTGCAGGGGTGTGGGCGGCGCTCCATCCTCCCAGCGATGATGTGTGGCCTCATGCACAGAACATGGTCCCCAAGGAGGCTCTTGAGCCTCGGTGTCTACTGGGGGTCAGTCACAGCGGCGCGGCTGACACCCCATGGCTGACCTCAGTCTCTAGCCCTCCAGAGGTCAAGCTGAAAACTGTCCAGGGCCCCACCCCAAATCACACTGTGGGACTATCCGGTGTGACCTGAGGCCCCAGGAACAATGACACCCCCATCGGGTAGGATGTACCAAGGGCTCAGAGGCTACCTCTCAGGAGCTCAGCCGGGGTCTACCACTCTTTGGCATGTGTGGGGTGTGGCCAGCCAGGCCTGCTGGGTGGAGCCCTGACTGTGTAACAGGGATTCGCTAGAAGGAAGGAAACACTGCACGCCCTCCTGAAAGGAGCCTCCGCCCATAGCAGCCTGCACAGTGTGTGGCCCTGAGGCCACAGGGACAGAAGGACTGAGCTGGAGGAAGGAGGTGGTTGTCATTGTACTTTACACAGCCACGTGCCCCGTTCTTCAGGGTGGAGCTGGAGGAACGAGATAGTTGTCATTGTACTTTACACAGCCACGTGCCCCGTTCTTCAGGGTGGACAGGGCCCTGGGTGGCTCACCTCACACCCAGCTCTGTTACTTACCACAGGACGCCCCAGGCCCTTCCTTACCCCGAGCCCTCAGTTTCCTCATCTGTGAAAGGGGTAGTGGTGCCCGGCGGGCAGTGCGTCGTGGGTACTGAGCTCACCCACTCAGGGAATTCACAGAGCAGCCGCCCTAAAGGGCCCGATTATCCTCATCCGGACAGTGACCGACCTGCTGGCCATTCCAGGGCCATCACCGCCATCTTCTTCAAAATGGCACGCAGGAAACCAGGGCCCCCTCTTCCCCCTGCCTGGGGCTCTGCCCAGCTGGGCAGCCTCACAGCCCCTGCCCTGCTGCTTAGGCTGAGGAGACATACTCGGGGTTTGGGGAAGGAAAGTGCCCGGGAGGGCCGCTGCTTTTGTAAAGTGAACATTTGCTGAACTACAGGGATCCATTGTCAGGCCCGTATCCCAGCTACAAGCTCAACCTCGTGGTGTGTTGGGGCCGACAGCGAGACCAGCGGTTCCTGCCATAGGTTCCCCGGGCTCTGGAGTGGGAGCAGGACCCTGCGGGAGACACGGGATGGGGGCAGGTGTCTGGGGGACCCTCCGAGTGGGCACCCAGAGCTGGTCAGGCTGCCGGGACAGTGGGTCAGCGCAGGGCAGGGCTGGGGCCGGACATCCACAGAGACCACCTGCTGGTCAGGATGTCACAGCCCTGTGTCCCATCTGTAGGTGGCCATGACGGTCCCCTCCTCACCAGCAGTAGCAGGTCCCAATCCTTTGCCATTTGTCATGGCAGCCAGACTCCAGGCGATGGTGTGGCACCAGGGCCAGGCACTGGAGGCAGGTAGAGTGCACCCCATGCCTACTGCTGAGCCTTGGGGCACACAAGCCTTCCTCAGCCTTTCCTGGTCACCTTCGGGGGTGGTCAAGGCAACAGGCAGCGAGTGTGGACACACGTGCCACGCCCCCTCCGAGTGTGTTTCTGCACCAAGCGCACAGCAGGCTCAGCAGGACAGGATGTGGGAGGGCCCAGCTCTCCCAAGACAGGGATGGCCCCAGACTGGGACGGATGGAAGTGGGCGGTGGGCGGAGGGCGCAGAGGAGGGTGGTGGCCAGGCTGTGACCGGCCCCAGGAGCTCCATGGAAGGGACTGGGCCCATGCAGGGCAGTCATGGGAGGGTTTGGGCGGGGAGGTGACCCGACCATCTGCTCCGTGTTCCTGGAAGGTGAAATGATGCCGCAATCTTCCATGAAAGAAGCTGAGCATGTGTGAGCATGGGGGAGGCTGGCTGCGCCCCTGTGCATCTGGCCGGCCAGAACCGATGTCACCGGGCTGTTTAACACCCATGGAAACTCAGTAGAGTGCCAAGAGCCGATGGCTTCCTGGTGATTTTACTGTGATCCACCCTCGTGGGGCTACTTCCGCCTACCATCTGTGTGGTGGTAGGAATTCCCTACCTGTGTGGTGGAAATTCTGGCCAACACTGGCCACCATGCACGTCCTCCCAACCCAGTGATATTGCGAGCTTGAAATCCACCAGGCAGGATCACTCACACCACAGGCAGGAGTACTCACACCACAGGCGGGAGCAGTCACACCGCAGGCAGGATCACTCACACTGCAGGCGGGATCACTCACACCGCAGGCGGGAGCACTCACACCGCAGGCGGGATCACTCACACCGCAGGCAGGAGGACTCACACGGGCAGGCCTGGACAATGCTGCAGCTCAGGGCTTTGCTTTCTTTTCTTATCCTCATGATGCAACAGTAATTTTTTTTTTATTTTTTATTTATTTTATTTTATTTTATTTATTTTTTTATTTCATTTCATTTCATTTCATTTCATTTCATTTTATTTTATTGAGACAGAGTTTTGCTCTTGTTGCCCAGGCTGGAGTGCCATGGTGTGATCTCAGCTCATTGCGACCTCCGCCTCCTGGGTTCTCCTGCCTCAGTCTCCTGAGTAGCTGGGCTTACAGGTGCCCACCACCACGCCCAGCTAATTTTTGTATTTTTAGTAGAGACGGGGTTTCACCATGTTGGCCAGGCTGGTCTCAAACTCCTGACCTCAGTGATCCACCCACTTTGGCCTCCCAAAGTGCTGGGATCACAGGCGTGAGCCATCATGCCTGGCCTGGGTTTTTTTTGTTTTGTTTTGTTTTTTTGAGACAAGGTCTTGCTCTGTCGCCCAGGCTGGAGTGCAGTGGTGCGATCTCAGCTCACTGCAACCTCCACCTCCTGGGTTTAAGTGATCCTCCTGCCTCAGCCTCCCGAGTATCTGGTACTACAGGCATGTGACGCCACACCACTCTAATATTTGTACTTTTTGTAGAGATGGGGTCTTCTTATGTTGCCCAGGCTGGTCCTGAACTCCTGGGCTCAGGCAATCTTCCCACATCGGCCTCCCGAGTACTGGTATTCCAGGCGTGGCCCCTGGGCAGCTCAGGGCTTTTTACCCCCAAGAACCTCTTACCACACATCACTGACCACACACTCTGGGGACCAAGTGCAAAACTGCGTTGAGGACCGTCCCAGCCATTTTGCAGGTGCAGAAGCCCCTGGGGTGAGCCCAGTGCGTGGAGATGCCGTGGCACAGGTCCTAGCCGTGCCATGTCTGGTCTTCTTGCCCAACAGAAACTCACCGAGATCATCCCCAAGTCAGCCGTGGGGGAGCTGTCTGAGGACTCCAGCAATGTGGTCCATCTCATTAAGAATGCTTACAATGTGAGTCTCCCGCACCACTCAGCTGGGACCCATGGGGTGGCCAGCAATCTCCCCACTGCAGGTCAGCTCCTGCTGCAGGTCAGCAGGAGGGTGGTCTGGGAGGAAAGCCCCTGCCCCGTGGGCCAGCTGCAGCCTCCCGACCTGCCCTCAGGCCTCCAGGACACCCTGGCCCGGCACTTCCACGGGGAGCTCTGGGTCCTCTCTCGTTGATGTTGTGGGCGATGCTCCCTGAAACCTGAGCTCCGGACTCTTCATTCCAGACTCTTCTCTGCGGGTCTCTATGGAGAAGGGAGGTGGACAGCTCTGGTGGCAAACAGTGCAGCTGGGGCAGGAGGAGGCCACAGGAAACCCCCACAGTGGACTTGGGCCCTGGGAAGACACCCTGGGGGGTGGAATTCCTCTTGCTCTGTTCACCTGTCCTGGGCAAGCTCCAGAGAAGCCCTTAACCCCTGAATTTCTCCCTGGTGCACGGCCCATCGAGCTGCACCCTGGGCTGCTCCCCTGGGGAGCCCATGGCCCTGGTGGGCATAGGTAGGCATAGGTGCGCACTAGGTGCCATTCAGGGCCCCAGGCACCAGAGGTCCCGACTGCTCTGGAAATCTACCCCCAGGTGAGAGATGTTCTCAGAATTCTGGCCTGGATCCTTCTAGGCCAAAGGTCCTGCTGGCTTGAGGGAGCTCAGCACGTTAGCGCCTCCGACAAACGTTGGGTCATTGAATTAAACTGAAGGCCCGTGGAGGAGGTGCCATTTGCTTCTCGTAGCCTCCCGTGAGCCCCAAACCCCCAGAGCAGACCCTCCTGGGTGCCAGCCACTGCCCGAGGTGTTTCTGTCCTTACACAGAGGATGCAGGTGACGCCACTGCCCTGGCCATTCACCCGATGCCCCTATGAACCTGTCCCTCTGCCTCCTCTCAATTTCCGTCTGTCTCTCAGTCTTTGTCTCTCTTTCTCTGTCTCTCTCTGTCTGTCTCTCTCTGTCTCTGCCCCATCTCTGTCTGTCTCTGTCTCTGCCTCTCTCTGTTTCTCTCCATCTCTCTGTCTCTGGCTCTGGCTCTGCCCATCTCTGTCTGTCTCTGCCTCTCTCTGTTTCTCCCCATCTCTCTTATCGCTTGAACAATTTATGCAGCTCCTGCCCTGTGCTAGGTCCTGGGGACTCAAGGCTGAGGAGCAGCAGAAGCTCCCACCCCTGAGGCTCACACCCTGGCTCCATGCTAGTCCCTGTGGTCAGGCTGTCTCGAGGGCAGGACTGTGGCCCTGGCAGCCCTGCCATCCTCAGCACATCCTGCTGTGCTCTCCTCTGTGTCATTAGCTGACACTGGGGACTTGCACTGAGAGGAGAAGTGGAGACGGGTCTAAACCGCTGGGCCAGGCAGGGCCAGGACAACAGAAACACTCGCCCCCAAGAGTAACCGCTCTCTGCCCGCAGAAACTCTCCTCCAGGGTCTTCCTGGATCACAACGCCCTCCCCGACACCCTGAAAGTCACCTACGACTCCTTCTGCAGCAATGGAGTGACGCACAGGAACCAGCCCAGAGGTGACTGTGATGGCGTGCAGATCAATGTCCCGGTGAGCCTGGCCACAAGGGTCCCCATCCCAGCTTGCTGAGGGGCTCTGGGGACAGCCAGAAGGAGCCAGGGTCCCCATCCCAGCACACTGAGGGGTCCTGGGGACAGCCAGAAGGAGCCAGGGTCCCCATCCCAGCACTCTGACGGGGGCAGGGAGGGGCACACAGGCATCAGAGGCTGTCTGGGAGCAGGCAGCATCCACTGGAAGGACCCTGTTTCTTTCCTTCACATCCTCTCTGCCGAGGCCAGACGCTTTCCTTGTGAAGCTGATGTCAGGAACGTCAGTGAGAGGGTGCCGAGAGGGTGCTTCTCAGTGAGAGGGTGCTGGGAGGGTTCTTCACACACGCCTTGGCCCCCAAGAGTCCTACTCATCAACCTGGAGCCCAAATCCCTGGGTCAGGCCACTGCAGACTGAGGGATGGAGTGATGGCTGCGCCCCCTGGGGGCAGACGCCGGACACACAGAACAGGCGCAAACGGCAAACCTGGGTAGGGTTAGTTGTCATGATTTTCTGCGTGTTTCATTCTGTTTTTTTGACAGAAACATTAAGGCATGGGCCACACAGGTGGTTAGGAATGGACACTGAGTTCCTTCTCTAATCTTTCAGGTTTAAGTTTATTATCCAATCATTTGTTGTTTCTTTTTGTTTTTTGTTTTTTGTTTTTTTTTTTGCTAGCTGTGAAATAATATTCAGCAAGACACTTGCTTTCATTGCATTTTCTTAATATGACTTTGGAATTCCTTCAAACATGTTTCTTGGTAAATGTTGCCTGTGGATTTTTTTTTTTTTTTTTTTTTTTGAGATGGAGTTTCGCTCTGTCGCCCAGGCTGGAGTGCACTGGTGCGATCTTGGCTCACTACAATCCAAGTGATTCTCCTGACTCAGCCTCCTGAGTAGCTGGGACTACAGGCGTGTGCCACCACGCTCGGCTAATTTTTGTATTTTTAGTAGAGACAGAGTTTCGCCATGTTGGCCAGGCTGGTCTCAAACTCTTGCCCTCAGATGATCTACCCGCCTCGGCCTCCCACAGTGCTGGGATTACAGGCGTGAGCCGCGGCGCCCAGCTGTCCCATGGATTCTCACCAGAACGTTTCCCTCATGTTGGGTGGTCTGAGTGGGAGTGTGCTCAGCTTCTCCTGATTTGCTGTCTGCGTGTCACATGTCTCTGCTGATGTGTGGCCGGGGAGATCCTGGTGCCGGCCAGTGCGGGAGTGCGGGCAGAGCACCTCCTTGCCGGCTGACTTTGGCTCTCGGATCTGAGCATCAGCTCTTCCTGCTCCTGGTCACCCCTTCCTCCCCACGCTGAACCCCCCAGGACCCCTGCAGAGGCCAGGAGGTGAGGGTTGGGAGCTGGGCTGCCACCCTGGCCACCGAGGGTCCCCACCTGAGCCCAGCACTGCCCTGCAGATCACCTTCCAGGTGAAGGTCACGGCCACAGAGTGCATCCAGGAGCAGTCGTTTGTCATCCGGGCGCTGGGCTTCACGGACATAGTGACCGTGCAGGTTCTTCCCCAGTGTGAGTGCCGGTGCCGGGACCAGAGCAGAGACCGCAGCCTCTGCCATGGCAAGGGCTTCTTGGAGTGCGGCATCTGCAGGTGAGGCGGGCGCAGGTCCCTGTTGAACCATCCCCGAGCCCCACCCCACAGGGCAGGTGTCGGCAGGTGAGGTGGGTGCAGGTGGCTCCATCCCTTCCCCCACCCCACGGAGCAGGCATCCTGGGGGCCCCCTTCTGCAGGAGGTGGGGAGATTTGGGATTGGAACCCAGAACCCCTCGGCAAGCCCTCACCCGTGCTCCTGAGCCAGGGCACCAGCAATGCCAGCCTGTACTCTACACTCTCTGGCCATGGAGGACCCAAGGCAGGGGACTTGTGGGCAGGAGGACCCCCTCACCAGAGGATGGAGGCCCATCTCAGGGGCACAAGGAGTCCCCGCTGGGCGTGCCCATGGCCTTGAGTGGGTCACTTTCTCTGCCCGACCTTCCTTGACCCTAGGAGCTGGCTTCTCTCTGACCTTGGGGACCCAAGGCCATCAGGCTGGCAGCCCTGGGGCATGGGTGGCTAGAGAGCCTCCTGGGACAGGTGATGGCTTCTGGGAGCCTGGGCCCCATAGGCCACCTCTTGGGCGTGCACACCCCCTGCCAGGCGTGGGCACCCCACCTCAGGGAGAAGTGGGGGACAGGTGGACCCAGTGGGGAGGTTCACATGGCACTCAGCCAGGCGGCCTGCCCGGGGGCTGGATGGCTGTCCCCCTTTCCTTGCTTGCCTGGCCAGAGCTGCTAGGCTGACCTCCCAGGACTCTGCCCCCTTTGCTCTGGTCACCTCCTCCCCTGTCCTGACCGCAGTGCCAATCCACGTCCTGGTGGCAGTGCCCTTCCTCACCTTCAGGTCCCTGCTGCCCCCAGCCTCCTCCCATATCTCAGGACAATGATGGTCTCTGTGGTCTTGGTGGTCTCTGTTGCTGTCCTCGTGCCTCAGTGGCCACCCCGCCCACTGTCCTGGGTGTGCAGCCCTGGGGCGGCCTCTTCACGGGACTGTAGGGGTGACTCAGTCGGAACACTTGGCAGGTGTCGGGGGGTGCCCTGCCACAGGTACTCAGACACTCGGTCCTGCAGCTTCCTCCTCTGGGGAGCAGGAGAGCCCGTGGCAGTGCCGTCTCTGAGGATGCCTCAGGGTGTGTGTGGCTCCTGCCTGCCAGCGGCTTGATGCCAGCTTCCACATCTGTAAAAACCCCTTGTCCCTGCATTCTCCCACAACCTGGCCTGTCAGTGCACGAACGCAGGAGGGAGGGCGGGGCTGTGGCAGGAGGCAGTGCCGAGTCCCCACTGGCCACCATGTGGGGCACGCAGGAGCAGACACCAGCCACTCACAGAGCACCGGTATCGCAGCACAGGCCATGTGCATGGCTGCAACACAGCTCCACAGTGAGCCTGCCGAGCCACTGCATGCGCAGGCCAAGGCCAGGTGTCTGCTTTCCCCTCGGGACATCCTGGGGAGGGAACGCGGGGCCCCTGCACGTTTTGAGCACATTTAGTCCGTGGCAAGTGCTCAGTAGGCCTCGAGGAAAGCAAAATGTGCCATAGGGGTGTTCTCCACCAAGGGCAAGGGGCCTGGAGGACAGGGCGGCTGTCCCTTGTCCCACATCACTGGGGGGAGCCTGACCTTGGGGCCCCTCCTGTCCCCAGGTGTGACACTGGCTACATTGGGAAAAACTGTGAGTGCCAGACACAGGGCCGGAGCAGCCAGGAGCTGGAAGGAAGCTGCCGGAAGGACAACAACTCCATCATCTGCTCAGGGCTGGGGGACTGTGTCTGCGGGCAGTGCCTGTGCCACACCAGCGACGTCCCCGGCAAGCTGATATACGGGCAGTACTGCGAGTGTGACACCATCAACTGTGAGCGCTACAACGGCCAGGTCTGCGGCGGCCCGGGTGAGCCCGTGGGTCCCTGCTGGACAACGGCCGTCCTGCGGCACAGACTTGGTGTTGGGGGGTGCGTTCTGGACCATTCAACGAGTGGAACAGAAAGGGGGGATCCTGAGGACAGACAGTGCAAGTCTCGCCCAGCCACCGGGCGTCAGCAGGAACTTGGATGGCCCTGCACCCCGCCCTGCCTCAGTTTCTGTGTCCATGAGGACAAGGCGTCCTTGTGGGGAGGGCCCACAGGAGGAACGGTCATAGCCCTATTGAGGTCCCATTCACAGCAGGGCAGGGGAGGTCCAGACTGGCCAGGAGGCGGCCACGTGGCTGGCGGGGGCAGAAGGGCCTGGCTAGTGGCCCCATGCCTTTTGCTCAGGAACATCCCCCAGGCTGGAGGAGGCAGGCGGGCCGGAGGGAGCAACCGCAGTGGGGTTTCGGGCGGGTCTCGGTTCCCAGGCCAAGCAGGAGCTTAGCCGTGCTGCCCCGTCTTCCAGGGAGGGGGCTCTGCTTCTGCGGGAAGTGCCGCTGCCACCCGGGCTTTGAGGGCTCAGCGTGCCAGTGCGAGAGGACCACTGAGGGCTGCCTGAACCCGCGGCGTGTTGAGTGTAGTGGTCGTGGCCGGTGCCGCTGCAACGTATGCGAGTGCCATTCAGGCTACCAGCTGCCTCTGTGCCAGGAGTGCCCCGGCTGCCCCTCACCCTGTGGCAAGTACATGTGAGTGCAGGCGGAGCAGGCAGGGCGGGCAGGGATCCCCACTCCCCGGCCACCTACCCAGCAGCCGGGCTCACTCGGGGACCCCAGTGAGCACCTCTGCACCGCGGGGTTCTCTGCGGGTGCGTCTGGACTGAGGGGCCCTCCGCGGCCGCCGTGCCCCTGTGTCCCTCCTCCCTCCTGTGCGCACCTGCCGCGGGCCCTGGGATCAGGCTTCCAGTTCACCCGCTGCACCCGCATCTGCCCCACTTGGGCCCCCTCCTTGGCCTGAGGGCGCCCCAACCCCACCTGCCCCCCCTGGTGGACACACACCCAAGCCCGAGCCCCCGTTGCCGGAGCCCCCGCACACCCTGGCACCGATGCTCACACCTGGCTCCCCGCAGCTCCTGCGCCGAGTGCCTGAAGTTCGAAAAGGGCCCCTTTGGGAAGAACTGCAGCGCGGCGTGTCCGGGCCTGCAGCTGTCGAACAACCCCGTGAAGGGCAGGACCTGCAAGGAGAGGGACTCAGAGGGCTGCTGGGTGGCCTACACGCTGGAGCAGCAGGACGGGATGGACCGCTACCTCATCTATGTGGATGAGAGCCGAGGTGAGGCCGCTGGGGTGCAGCGGGGACCGGCTCCAGAGCTCCGGCTGCGGGGTCTCCGCAGAGGCGAGGGTGGTGCGGAAGGAGGATCTCACCTCCAGTGTTGTGGGCCCAGCAGGGTGGATGAGCCATGCGGGATGCCCTTGGCATTGCAAGGAGGCCAGAGGCCGGTCCCCTCACCCCCAGCAGCCTCCCCTTTCCCTCCCCTCCTCACCTGACCCCACATCAAGCTGGGCAGCAGACGGCCTGCTCCCTGGGGGCACCACTGCTCCACACCGGGCAGGCCCACCAGCATGCCACACGGCCCGGGCCATCTCCCGCTGGATGCCTCATGGGGCAAGGCTTGCAGTTGCAGGTCCCCAGGGGTGGCCCGCGGTCAGGTTGCTGCGTGAGGCTCCTTTGAGGGGATTGGGAGATCCTGGTGCTCGGCTCTCAGCCCTGGAGGGGCCCAGGGCCACCAGGCACCACCGTCCCCATCACTCGTTCGGCTCCAGTCCAGTCGGAACCAGTCCCAGCCCCACAGTGACCTTGGTGGCACTGACCCTGTCTCATTCGGCTCCAGTCGGAACCAGTCCCAGCCCCACAGTGACCTTGGTGGCACTGACCCTGTCTCATTCAGCTCCAGTTGGAACCAGGCCCAGCCCCACGGTGACCTTGGTGACACTGGCCCTGCTTCTTCAGGTCTCATGTTCCACAGGCTCCTGAGAGGCAGAGGGGCTGGGGCTGGGGGGCCGCTGGCGGACTCCATCAGGCATGGCCAGCAGCCGGCCAGGACTCTTGCAGAACTGAGACCTGGGAGCTCCTCCCTCACCAGGAAGGGACCCGAGGCAGGCGGCGGGGGTCTCTGAGCCTGTAGGTGACATGCCTGGAGCTCACAACCCACATGTGGGCCTGGGGCTGCAGACCCCCACCTGCCAGGGCAGGAACCCCTGCGGGCCACTTTGAGGGACAGACTTGGGTCACGTCTGGTTTGTGCAATCCTGGCCAAGTCACTTCACCTTTGAGGACAGGTGAAGGAAGGCAGGTCCCCCAGGAAAGGCAGGATGGCAGGAGGGGGCACGGGGAGTGAGAGTGCAGGTCAGGATGGCAGGAGGGGGCACAGGGAGTGAGGGTGCAGATCAGGATGGCAGGAGCAACCACAGGGAGTGAGGGTGCAGGTCAGGATGGCAGGAGGGGTACAGGGAGTGAGGATGCCAGACCAGGCCAGGGACTGCACTGAACGCTAGTGTCTGTCCCAGGGTCAGCAGCTGTGGGCCTGGCCCACTATGGCCCACAGTCCCCATGCTCAGGAGGTGGGCACAGCTGCCGTGGGAACCAGGACCTTGCGTTGCTCATCCTGGCACCGGCCTCACCTGCTGAGCTCTGGTCTCTGGTCTTGTCCTTGACGACCACAAATCACTTTCACAGTATGGGGAGTGAACTCCAGCAGGGACCCTGAGCCTGGTTCTGAACTCTGCTGTAGGAGAGCGGGGTCCCTCGCACTGTGTCCTACCCCCCAGTATTAGCACTCTGTCCTGGCTGCCCGGTACCCTGGCCCTGCCTTCTTCTCTGTCAGCAGGGGTGGTGGCAATGGCCCTTAGGTTTCATTTGGAACCACAGGGCCTGGCCTGGAATCCAGCAGGGGCTGGGCCAGGTTCTCACTGACCCCTGGCCATGGTGATGGATGGTGAGCCGGGGCCCTGGGAACCTCCGTCTCTCTAAGTGCTGTGTTGTGGGGTGACCTCGGACCTGTGGGCACACGGCTCAGTGAGATGGGGCTGGACTGACGCTCAGGTGTGCTGCTTCTTCCCTAGAGTGTGTGGCAGGCCCCAACATCGCCGCCATCGTCGGGGGCACCGTGGCAGGCATCGTGCTGATCGGCATTCTCCTGCTGGTCATCTGGAAGGCTCTGATCCACCTGAGCGACCTCCGGGAGTACAGGCGCTTTGAGAAGGAGAAGCTCAAGTCCCAGTGGAACAATGTAAGTGGCCGTCCTTGGGGGTCCCACGCAGAGGGGCACGTGCGTCCCACACTATGCGACCTCCTGCTGCGGGAGGCCGTGGACACCCGTGTGTGGCTGCACCCCGGCCTCCCCAGGCAGCTTGTCCTCTGGGCGTCCGCCGCTGTGGGTGAGCTTGGCTGCCGGTGCTGGGACCCTGGGGGGGCTGCCCCACGTCTAGCTCTTCCTCAAAGTGACGGCTTCCATGCGGGGAGTGTCCTCAGGGAGAAAGATTCTGCTCTGAAAACCTCCCACACTCACAAGCCCCTGTTTGCATTTCCCACCAGGATAATCCCCTTTTCAAGAGCGCCACCACGACGGTCATGAACCCCAAGTTTGCTGAGAGTTAGGAGCACTTGGTGAAGACAAGGCCGTCAGGACCCACCATGTCTGCCCCATCACGCGGCCGAGACATGGCTTGCCACAGCTCTTGAGGATGTCACCAATTAACCAGAAATCCAGTTATTTTCCGCCCTCAAAATGACAGCCATGGCCGGCCGGGTGCTTCTGGGGGCTCGTCGGGGGGACAGCTCCACTCTGACTGGCACAGTCTTTGCATGGAGACTTGAGGAGGGAGGGCTTGAGGTTGGTGAGGTTAGGTGCGTGTTTCCTGTGCAAGTCAGGACATCAGTCTGATTAAAGGTGGTGCCAATTTATTTACATTTAAACTTGTCAGGGTATAAAATGACATCCCATTAATTATATTGTTAATCAATCACGTGTATAGAAAAAAAATAAAACTTCAATACAGGCTGTCCATGGAAACTGGGCACTGTGTCCGCTGTATTCCCCCGACTGGCAAGGTGGCCAGGCACACGTGGGCCCTGTCCTGCCCGCTGACCTTTGCCACACAGGCACACAGCTGGCTTCAGACCATGGGGCAGGTTCTGTTTTCCCTTTTCCTTCCTCACCTGCTGGTCTATACAGAGCCCCGCTCTGAGGCCCTGTCCCAAATCCTAGGTGCATTTCCGTAAACGGTGGTGGCCCCACCAAAGAGGTGCCTGCGGCGGAGCCTGGCCAGGGCAGAGGCAAAGCAGGAAAGCGGGTACCTGTCTGCCCTCCCTCCAGCCATCTACACCTCCCCTCCAGCCATCTACACCTCCTCTCCAGCTCTACACCTCCCCTCCAGCCATCTACACCTCCCCTCCAGCCATCTACACCTCCCCTCCAGCAGTCTACACCTCCCCTCCAGCCGTCTACACCTCTTCTCCAGCCGTCTACACCTCCCCTCCAGCAGTCTACACCTCCCCTCCAGCCATCTACACCTCTTCTCCAGCCATCTACACCTCCCCTCCAGCAGTCTACACCTCCCCTCCAGCTGTCTACACCTCTTCTCCAGCCGTCTGCACCTCCCCTCCAGCAGTCTACACCTCCCCTCCAGCCGTCTACACCTCCTCTCCAGCCATCTACACCTCCCCTCCAGCAGTCTACACCTCCCCTCCAGCCGTATACACCTCCTCTCCAGCCGTCTGCACCTCCCCTCCAGCATTCTACACCTCCCCTCCAGCCGTCTACACCTCTTCTCCAGCCATCTACACCTCCCCTCCAGCAGTCTACACCTCCCCTCCAGCCGTCTACACCTCTTCTCCAGCCGTCTGCACCTCCCCTCCAGCAGTCTACACCTCCCCTCCAGCCGTCTACACCTCTTCTCCAGCCGTCTGCACCTCCCCTCCAGCAGTCTACACCTCCCCTCCAGCCGTCTACACCTCTTCTCCAGCCATCTACACCTCCCCTCCAGCAGTCTACACCTCCCCTCCAGCAGTCTACACCTCCCCTCCAACCGTCTACACCTCCTCTCCAGCCATCTACACCTCCCCTCCAGCAGTCTACACCTCCCTTCCAGCCATCTACACCTCTTATCCAGCCATCTACACCTCCCCTCCAGCAGTCTACACCTCCCCTCCAGCCATCTACACCTCTTCTCCAGCCATCTACACCTCCCCTCCAGCAGTCTACACCTCCCCTCCAGCAGTCTACACCTCCCCTCCAGCTGTCTACACCTCCTCTCCAGCCGTCTACACCTCCCTTCCAGCCATCTACACCTCCCCTCTAGCCATCTACACCTCCCCTCTGGCTGTGCCTACACTTCCCCTCCAGCTGTGTCTATGCCTTCCCTTCAGCCATCTACTCCTTCCCTCCAGCTATCTACATCTCCCCCCCAGCTGTCTATACCTCTCCTCCAACTGTGTCTACACCTCCCCTCTGGCTGTCTACAGAGCCCCCTCTGCCTCCCACTGGGGTACTCAGAGGGGAGGGAGCCAGTACTGCTTTAGTGGACGTGTGGAAACAGCCCTGGGCTGTGCCAAAGCTGCTCACGGCCCCAGAGCAGAATTCAGCACCAAGCTCCACACAGATCCTGCCTGAGAGCTCTGGACACAAGCAGGCTGCTGGCCGTGGTTGCAGTTGGTGAACGTCTCAGTTCTAGCACAGGAAGGCCTTTGTCCTGGGAAACCCCTTAGTTTGTCTGGGCAAGTCACACAGCTGGCCACACTGCCAGGGCCACTGCAGACCTGCAAATGGGCACATGTGGGTGGCATCTGCTTTAGGTCCCCTACTTTAAAATTGTAACTGTGGCCAGGCACGGTGGTTCACGCCTGTAATCCCAGCACGTTGGGAGGCCAAGGTGGGAGGATTGGTTGAGTTTAGCAGTTCGAGATCGGCCTTGAACCTGAGGCTGTTAAGTTAGCAGCTGTTAACTTAACAAGAGTCACACAGCACACCTGGCGACCCAGCCTTGAACAGTGAGACTCCATCTCTACTAAACATTAAAAAAAATTAGTAGTGTGGTGGCACATGCCTGTAGTCCCAGCTACTTGGGAGGCTGAGTTAGGAGGACGGCTTAGGCCTGGGAGTTGGGGGTTGCAGTGAGCTGTGATTGCACCACTGCACTCCAGCCAGGGTGACAGAGAAAGACCCTATCTTAAAAAAAAAAAAAAAAAAAAAAAGCAAACAAACAAACAAACCAAAAACGAACTTCTAACTGTGTGATAACCTCTTACTGTATATGCCTGGGAGACTTTACCTGGGCAGGTGGGAGGAGCTAGAAATGGCCAGATGCTCCAACACCGCTCACTTCCCAGCTCAGGGGTCCCCACTCAGCCTGCACCTGGGGCTTTAAAAGCCCCTGCCCTGTCGGAGAAGGGCTGCCGTGACTGGTGTTCAGTGTTCCTCGGGGAGGCTGCTGTGCAGCCAGGGTGGACACCCGCTGGCCTTGAGCCTCAGTTCCCCAAGGCTGGCCTTGGCAGCAGAACAAGCCTCACCTAGAAACCTGTCAGAGGCGCATTCTTGGCTTGGCCCTGGACCAGCTAGTCGGCAGCACTCCGGGTGGGCTCAGCAATCTGGGCTTTGCAGGTCCTCCAGGGATACTGATGCACGCTGTAGTTTGAGAACCACTAGACAAAGCTAGGAGATGGAGGTCAAATTGTCGACACTGGCTGGGCGCAGTGGCTCACGCCTGTAATCCCAGCACTTTGGGAGGCAGGCCGAGGTGGGCAGATCACAAGGTCAGGAGATCGAGACCACCCTGGCCAACATGGTGAAACCCCATCTCTACTAAAAATACAAAAATTAGCTTGGTGTGGCGGCACGTGCCTATAATCCCAGCTACTCAGGAGGCTGAGGCAGGAGAATGGCTTGAACCCAGGAGGCGGAAGTTGTGGTGAGCCGAGATTGCGCCACTGCACTCCAGCCTGGCAACAAAGCTAGATTCCATCTCAAAAAAAAAAATTGACATCAAGGTATGGTCTACAGGGGTGTGTGCGGGGTGGTGATGCCCTCTCAGGAAGGAGGGATGGGGGAGGGTGACCTCAGGTGACCCAGGCAATCAGAGGGCCTGGCCTGGAGCACGTCCGGCAAAGATCAGATGCCAGCCCTGAGTGAAACCCTCCTCACAGGGTTACTGAGAATTCCAACGCAGGCTTTGGGCAGAATTGGAGTTAGGCACTGACCAGGGTGTGGCAGGCACCACCACCCAACTCACTGCAGCTGCTAACTTAACAAGAGTCACGAGGCACACGGATCACCTGCTCCCCGTTGTTCCTACAGGTGGAATCTCTGAGCCTGGACCTTTTAAGCCAAGAATTGCTTAAGGTGTTTCCCACACCCTGAATTCCAGCAGAACAGCTGACGCCAACTGGTCTGAAGGCCCCACCAAGGAACCGACTCAGCTCAGGAATGTGGTTTCTTCATCCCCTATCCCGTGACTTCACCACTCATACTCACCAATCAGCGATCCCCACGCCTCAGACCCCATCACCTGCCCAGACCCCTGAAAAACACCATCCCCAAGCCCCTCGGGAGGTGGGTTTGAGGTTTCCTCCCATCTCCTCGCTTGGCTGCCCACGCGTCTTGGACTTTCTCTGTGGCAACTCCCTCTCTTTCAGTGTGCTGGTATATCACCATGCAGTGGGCAATAGGCCCTGAGCCAGGGTCCTAGGACACGTGCCCCTGCTCGAGATCCATCTCAGTGATTGCAGCAAGGGCCTGGATCACCCCCAGACGTGCCTCTAGCAAGACAAACTGTCAGATGCCCTCAATCCATTTTGTGATTTTTCTGACATTTTCCTGCCAGTTTTCAGAAGGTCTTTTTGACGTTCCAACCTTGTTCCAGAGAAATGAGGGGAGCTCCTGAGACATGGGGAAGAAGCACGGACTCCAAGGATGAGCCCCCCCAGTCCACGTCCAGCTCTACTTCTTACTGGCTGCCTGACCTGGAACAAGCTGTGTTTTGTCTTGTCAAAAGTATAGGTGGAGGGATCACTAAAGCTTGGCCCTGGGAGGATGCAGAGAGGCTGGCACAGGAAGTGCTTTGAGAATCATAACTGCTTGCAAGGGATGGGCAACCGGAACTCTCTGTGCCTTGGTCAAGGACAAACTCCTGAGCACAAGAGATCTCGCGTGGCACAGACCAGCTCTGAAGCCATGAAGCTGCCAACCGTGTGCAGCCCCACAGGAGTCCTCCCACATACCAGGGGTGCAGGTTCCACACCGCTGCTTAGTCCCATCATGGGAAATGGGCTGTGGCCTGTGGGCCCAGCCCTCTCTCCCTCCCTCCATGCCTCACCCCAGACCCTGCTGATCCCTGCCTGTCCAAGGCTCCACACTGTCTAGCCCCTTCCAAAGTGAGTCCAAAGTCTGGGACCTTCAGGTGCTCTCCTTGTTCTCCCCAGTGTTAAGCATCTGGTGGTTTAATGGGTTGCCAGAAGCTTCACTCTTTTTATGCAGCCTCTCTGGAAGTCACCCACTAAGGAATGTACTCATAATGACCACATACAAAAAAAATCCAACTGCACAGACACTTAACCACCAAATAAACCCGCTGGTGGAAATCCCTGGCAGGTGACTCCAATATGCACAACTAGGTGGGGACCCTGGAACTTCCCCTCTCTGGCCCCAGCCCACTGTGGCTGTCTGGTCCTGTGGACAGCCCTTTCCATTGCTCTGGGGCTCGGCTGTCATTTCTCCTAAGTTGATACCATTGTGACTGTATCAGTTTAATTCCCTAACCATCTTTCTTCATGGAAAGACATATGCACTTTTAATTCCAGACTGCTCTAAGTAATCATCCTGTTTCTGTAAAGAGTCATAACGGTTGTACTTCCTGTACAATGTGCCGTTTGGGTCATTCCTCTGAGCTTGAAGCTCTTTGACAATTGAATATGTATCTTTGGATTCCAGACATGTTAAATTACACAATGCCTCCCATTTCCTCTTTTTAAATCTTGACTTCCATGCGGTTAAAACAGGAACTGGGGTTATACCATGCATTTTTTGAACTTCTGCATTGTTAAGTTGTCCCAGAACTTAGTTATATTTTAAAATGCCATTGTGCATTGTTTAAAATGTGGTGATATTCACCGAGTTTTGGTTAATGTTTACAAACACCTAATGTCCATCAAATACCATTAAATTAGCATTGTGTGGTTGTATTGTTTCAGGGGCATAGTTCTAAACTAGACTTGTGTTTATTCTGTTTCTGCAAACTGATTTTTTTTTTTTTTCAGATGTAGTCTCACTCCGTGGCCCAGGCTGGAGTGCAGTGGTGCGATCTCAGCTCACTGCAACCTCTGTCTCCTGGGTTCAAGAGATTCTCCTGCCTTGGCCTCCAAGTAGCTGAGACTACAGGTGTGTGCCACCATACCCGGCTAATTTTTGGATTTTTACTAGAGACAGGGTTTCACCATGTTGGCCATGCTGGTCTCCTGACCTCAAGTGATACACCTGCCTTGGCCTCCCACTGTTGGGATTACAAGCATGAGCCACTGTGCCTGGCCTGCAAATGGCTTTTTAAACATCTTTTGATACAATCGAAGATCCCAATGAAGATGTAAAGTATTTGAACTGGAAGACGTGGGTCAGAGACACAGTTTGCTGTCACTAAGGTCCCTTTGCATCCACTTTATCCCTTTATGCTGAGCCTGAGCAAACAGGACAAACGTAAAAAATGATTGTAATTTCTAGAATAAGTTAACAGTTTTTGTCACTAATTTTGCCAAGATCCCAACCAGCTATTTAGCCAGTTGTTTGGAGGAGGTTTTGGCTCTGAAAGGTTGGTTTATGTGGATTTCACATCAGCCATGAATTTAGTGATGTTATTTGGTTTATCTGGGATACAGACACAGCTTTTAGTTTTACGATAGCACAGGTTACCCTCGAGCTGCGGTGAGTATGTCTAAAGCCATATGGTTTTATAATACAGATTTTCTCAGGTAAGTTTATCATTTAATCATGAGATACCTGGCTATATCTTAAGGCCTTTTGTGTGTAACTGGTGAGGGCCTCTACGTGTCAAGTAACGCCTTCAATACCCAGTTATGGCAGAAAGACAGAAGCTAAATGATGATACCAATGGAATACAGGATGAATCTGACAAGACTGTAGATGAGGAAGATTGGTGAGTGTGAAACGGTATGAAATATTTGACCTTGTGACCGGCATAACCCAAAGAACACTGTCCCAGCTGTCCCAGGGTATCACCTTCTGGTACAAGAGCCCATTTCGGAGGCTCAGTTTTCTTTGTTTTTGAGATGGAATCTCACTCTGTCACCAAGGCTGGAGGGCAGTGGCACAATCTCGGCTCATTGCAACCTCTGCCTCCCGGGTTCAAGCAATTCTCCTGCCTCAGCCACCTGAGTAGCTGGGATTACAGGTGCGCCACCATGCCTGGCTAATTTTTATATTTTTAGTAGAGATGGGATTTCACCGTGTTGGCCAGGCTGGTCTCGAACTCCTGATCTCAGGTGATCCACCTGCCTTGGCTTCCCAAAGTGGTGGGATTATAGGAGTGAGCCACCGCGCCCAGCCGAGGCTCAGATTTCTTTAGATGGGAGATGTGAATTCAAGGGTCGTCTTCTAATTTTATGGTGAAGGCTGGTCAGGAGTACCTGATAAGGTCCATAGCAGGTTGCAGAGACTTTTTAAAAAATGTCATTTCCAATAGACAAAATCTCCTGGTTGAAGTCTGTGGTCCTTGAAATTTTTGTTTCCCAGGAGCTCACTGTGAAAAGATTATTTTTGCCAATTATAATTTTTCATTAATGTTTTGCAAGGGCACTGCAATAGCTGAATATGTCTCCCTTTAATATCATAGACGTACAGTTTCTTGGAGATAATTTCATGGGTCTGCCTAATTTTTAGCAGAGATAACTGGTGTTTACCTAAAGGGGTCGACCTCTGATTAAGCAGAACCAGTAGAAGAACTTCTGACCAAGGAATTTGAAAAGCCTTGGTTAATTTTGCCAACTGAGTTTTGATTATTCCATTGGTGCATTTCACTAACCCAGATGACTGGGTGTGGTAAGCGCAATGGAAATGCTGGAGGATGGGCCAAAGTTTACATACTGATTGAATCATCCGTCCAGCGAAGTGAGTTCCTCTATTGCTACAAGTTCCAGAGGAACTCCCCAGGTTGCAATACCTTTTTCTACAGCAATTTTACTCACTGCTAAGGCAGTGCTCTTCTGCATGGAAATGCCTCTGCCCAGTGAGAAAACAAGTAAATTGTTATCAGAACATGTTTGTATGTTTCTGAGGGTGGCAACAGCATGGCATCTAATGGTCATAACTCACAAGGGCCTCGGGTAAAGGGAAATGTCCTTATAATGGTTTTCCTGGATTATATTTTAGGGAACTGTGGCAATGATTGTCTGTTTCGATCTTTGTGTTTGTAGAAAGCAAAAAGTTCCTCTTCAAAGTTTCCCTTCTTGTTAAAGAGTAAATCATAAGTGTTAAAAATAATAGTTTCTTTTAAAAACTAACTTCCTTCAAGCCTCCTGGCTTCGTGCTAATAACTGCTCGTTAAGCTCTAGCCTGTGTAGCTGTTACACTTGCTCACGGGCACGTAGTACATTCTATGTCCTTGAACCTTAACCAGGATATTTGTGCTGGACCTGCCCACAGGCACATTCCAGCTCGCAGCCTATGCCCCTTCCCTATTTGGTATTAAGCAACTTCCTCTTTTCCTTTGTCTTTCCATTACTTTTACCTATTTAGAAAAGTTTTAAACTGTTAGCCAATCGGGTTTTAGTTTAGATTGTGAGGTCTGGCTCCAGCCAATGGAGACAGGACACAGTAGCAGGGCCAAACAGCGGCAGGGATGAAAATGGCTTCCCTCCTTTGTTCAGGTGTGCTCTCGCCATTGTTCCATCTGTGATGAGCACCCCTTCTGCAGAAAGTAAAAATGGCCTTGCTGAGAGAATTAAATTTATGTTCGAGTGCTGTGTCTTTGCAGCACTTGGGAACAAGCATTCTGTTTCTAAATAACAATTTTTACATATAACAGTGTTTTAGGAACCCCTAAAGCATCTCCACCACTTTCATGTATTATACAAATAATAGAATGGAAGGTTATAATTTGTATGCCCCAAAGGCGGAGCATTAGCAAGGTCACGTTTGATCATTTCAAATGTTGGTGTATTTTCTTCTGACCACTCTAAAGTCCTGGCATGTCCTGTTTTTAGAGAGCGTATAAGGACTGAGCTTTAAAGAAAAGTTTGGGATCCAATTTCTATAATATCCTGCCAGTCCTCCACATCCTTTTGTTTCTTGGTTGTTGGTGGTGGAAAGCTAAAATTCCTTTCAGTCTATCTAGATTAGTAGAAAGTCTTTCTTTAGATATTAAGTGGCCCAAGTACTTTGTTTTTTATAAAATTGAGGTTTTTCTTTAGGAATTTTATGTCCCTTTAGGGCTGTTGTAATGAATGTATCCCATCTTCTATAAAAGCTTTGCTTATCTTCTGAGCAAAGGAGTAAACTGCCCATGTATTGTAATAAAAAATTTTTTTTAAGAACAAGTCAAAAGACTGGGCCCAGTGCCTCGCGCCTGTAATTCCAACACTCTGGGAGGTTGCAGTGGGCGGATCACCTGGGGTTCAGAGTTTGAGACCAGCCTGACCAACATGGAGAAACTCCATCTCTACTAAAAATACGAAATTAGCCAGGCATGGTGGCGCATGCCTGTAATCTCAGCTACTCGGGAGACTGAGGTGGGAGAATTGCTTGAACCCGGGAGGCAGAGGTTGCAGTGAGCCGAGGTAGCGCCATTGCACTCCAGCCTGGACAACAAGAGCGAAACTCCGTCAAAAAAAAAAAAAAAAGAACAAGTCAGTATGTAAGACAACTGTCTTTGCATCAGTTGGACTCTCAGTGTAGCCCTGAGCATGGCTGTCTGTGTGTATTGTCTGCCTTCCCAAGTAAAGGTAAAGAGAAATCAACACTTTCACACACAGAACTACTGAAGGATGTGCTAATAAGTCCACTACACTAAAGGACTTTGATCGGGGTAGCCAAGAGGATTCTTCCAGTATCAGTGGAAGACTCTGACCATATTTGATCAAGTACTGCCTTTAGTAGGTTTTGTAATTCTTCATTATTCAATAATTCAGTGTCTTCTAGGGCAATTAGGGATCGCAATTGGGTTAGATTTTGAAACTTTTTTTATGTCTAGTAACTCAGCTTTCTCATCTAATTCTAAATACGTCTTCCCCCTTTGGGAGAAAGAAACGTGGATATTGTAATTCTAAGAAGTCTCCTTTTATAAGATGGCTGGCAGCTGATAGAACCAGAAGGAAAATGTGAGTCCCTTGTAAAGGACCTAGTTGAAAAGCTATAGGCTGAGATTTACGTGCCGTTACAGGCGTATTAGTGACACCTACCCTTTGAACTTTTTTTTGACTCCAAGGAATGGAACCTTGTAACAAGATGGGATTTATTACAGAAAACACGGCTGCTCTATCAGCAAAAGCTTATGTCAGCAATGGGAACTCGTGTTAACTATTTTAAATAATTTTTATGGCCAGGCGTGGTGGCTCACGCCTGTAATCCCAGCACTTTGGGAGGCTGAGGCAGGTGGATCACAAGGTCAGGAGTTCAAGACCAACCTGGCCAATATGGTGAAACCCCATTTCTACTAAAAATACAAAAATTAGCCGGGCGTGGTGGTGCGTGCCTGTGGTCTCAGCTGCTCGGGAGGCTGAGGCAGAGGAGTCGCTTGAACCTGGGAGGCGGAGGTTGCAGTGAGCCAAGATTGAGCCATTGCACTCCAGCCTGCGCAACAGAGCGAGACTCCGTCTCAAAAAAAAAAAAATTATTTTTCCCAAAGTAGAGGCAGGGTCACACACTCGGGTATTTAAATTCTCTGGGAAAACCAGTGGGGTCCTGGTGAGCATCAGGAAATTCCTTGATTATACTTTTAAGTTCTACCTTTGACCATAACTCATGAACTAGGGCACATAGTTGTCCCCTATGAGAGACACTGGCTGTTTGAGCAATGGCCCCAAAACAGGAGGAGGAGGAGGAAGAAAGGTGGGTCTGGGCGAGGTAATTCAGACAACAAAGGATAAAGAGAAGGAGCTGAGGGAGGAGGGGGAGAAATTTCAGTAGTCTTTTTTAAATTCAGAAATTATTTTAGATAATTTTTGTTTTTCTCTCATAAATACCTTTATTAGAACTTCTTTTGGATGCTTCCAACTACCATAAAAAATAACTCTCCCAAAGATTCCGTTTTATCCTAGAGCCAGCGTTTTCCAATTGAGCAAACAAGTAAATTACCTTGGTGTTCCAATGGTACCCGGCTTTGGTCACTGAAATGTTTTTTCTCAAGTTACGTGAGACCATTTTTCTAAATATAACGAGAGGTGGCACCATAAGCACTGCACAGGAAACCAGCTGGAGTTTCCAAAGATGGGTCCTCCCTGAAGGAGAAAGACTTGTTTTGGATGGACGATTGCCTATGAGTTCTCTTAAGTGACAAAAGACTGTAAGGGAAAATCTGGTTACTCAAGAAGAAAGTTTAGACATGTCAAATTGAACTCAGCTCCAGAGCCTGGCCAGTTTTAAGGATTACAAATTTTGCTTAAGCCACGATTCGCTGCTTCTTTTCAAAGAGAAACTGCTTTCCCCTTCTCCAAATCTGAAGGACAAAAAAGGTTGCAAACTTTAGCAAGACGAACAAAACCTTAACCTCGAAGGATAGTGTTAACCACACACCTGCAAACAGCTGACTCTTTGGAGAAATAACAAACGAAACTCTTGCCTTAAAACCAAGCCTCAACTCCAGCCCTATCAGGTGTGGACCTGGGTAGGCGGAACAGAGTCTGAACCTCAGCCCTGGGAGGCTGCCAGAGACCCCGGCCAGGTTCCCAGGCGGTCCGGTGAACCAAGGCCGCTCCGCGGGTGCCAGCGCTCCGAGTGCCAGAGAAGTGGCTCGGATCACAAGAGGCTGGCTTCGGAGCCATCTGCAGGCGCCCAAATCCCAACCTAAAATCACCACAGGGTCAGAATCTAATGTAAGGGGGGGTTATTCAAAGGCAGTTGGAGGCTGGCCCACCCGGAAACACCGGCTCCAGAGGAATGGAGTCCGCCCTCGGAAGCGGGGAGGGGAAGGGTGCCCTCGGGCAGGCAGAGGCGGAGGCTTTTAGCAGGACCGCGGCGTCCTTCCTACGAGGTGGGCGCAGTCCTCGCGTTTGATGGACGACGGGCAGTGCCTGCTTCAGGGAAGGGTGCGGCAGTCACGGTTTCCCGTCTTCTGGTCTAAGCAGTGCAGAAAACAGGGAAGTTCATCTACAAGGGTCATGAACTAAGAAGGCAGGAGGTTTCTGTCCCCGGCACCGGCGAATCCCGGACCCGAGAAAGGAGCTACGGGCGCACAGAAGCGGGCGGCCCCGGCTCTCGCGGGGCTTAAAGCGCGCAGTGTGTTCGGGTTCACACCTCTAAATGTATTTTTGCCATTTCTTAAGTAGCCTTAAAAATGTCCGTCACTATTTAGTCCTTTTATCAACCGAGGGGCCCGGAAGGCCGCAGCGAGGGCGTCGGCGAGAAGCCATGGAGGAGAAACGGCGCTTCTCTCGGGAGTTTAGGTGGCAGCTTCAGCAGCACACGTTTCAGCCCATTCTGGGGCCGTTTCTAGTGTGGTTAACGTACAAAAATAAACAAATCCCCTAAAAGTCCCACGCGGACATCGGCGGGAGCCCAGGGCCGGACGCCGCGGTGTGGAGCGAGGGCGCCGGCGCGGACTATGAGGGCCCACCGCGCCTCGTCCAGGGCTCACTTAAGAGCAGCGTGAGCAGCGCTTGGGACCGCCGTCCGGGACGCCCGCAGCCCTTTAGGATGGAGGCCACCGTGACCTCCGCCACCGAAGCACCGCGCTCCCCTAGTCCCCTCAGCCGGTCGCCGTTCCCCGCCGCGCAGGCGCAGGAGCCGCGGCGAGCCCCTCGGTCACGCCTCGCCCCTCGGTCACGCCTCGCCCCTCGGTCACGCCTCGCCCCTCGGTCACGCCTCGCCCCTCGGTCACGCCTCGCCCCTCGGTCACGCCTCGCCCATCCGCGCCGCGCAGGCGCACTGAGCCTCAGCCGCTCTCCTCGCTACCAGGCTCCTTTCCTCTATCGCGCAGGCGCACTGAACCTCAGCCGCGCCGGGAGGCGAGCCCGTTGGCGAGGGGCGGGGCAGATGGCGAGGGAGCGGGGCGAGCTGCTTTTTGAGGCTGCGCACTCGCATGGCCCCACCTCGCAGGTCCACTTCCGGCGCCGCGGCTGTTCCGGGCGGAGACCGCTTGTGCTGGAGTCGGAGTTGTAACGCTCCACTGACTGATAGAGCGACCGGCCGACCATGGCGCCCGGAGTGGCCCGCGGGCCGACGCCGTACTGGAGGTTGCGCCTCGGTGGCGCCGCGCTGCTCCTGCTGCTCATCCCGGTGGCCGCCGCGCAGGAGCCTCCCGGAGCTGGTGAGGGCGCCGGGGCGGGCGGGGCCGCGAAGGGGGCGGGGCGGCTGGTGGGTCCAGGTCGGGGTCGGGGTCGGGGTTTCGGCCAGGGCGCTGGGCTCGGCGGGCGGCCTGGGCCCACGGTCGCAGGCAGCGCCCCGACGGAGGCTCCTCGAGGGTCACGCCCGTTTGGCGGCCGCGGGAGCTGCCGTCGCGGCTGGGGCGCGGGCAGGGGAAGAGCCGTCTTTGTCTTTGTCTTTGTTTTGTCCAGTCGCTGCGGCCGCTCCTCGCGCGTGGCCTCGGGTTGGCCCTCGCCCGGCAGGCGGGACGCTTGGCACCTGCGGCCTCCCTTAGCCTCACTGCGACCCCAAACAGCACTCCTCGGGTTCGATCCCGAGCCGGGAAGCCGGCTCACGACGTGTTCGAGGTCGCACAGCTGGTCGGGGGCAGGCCGGGATGGCGGCCGCAGGCCCCTGCAGGGTGATGGGGCCGCGGCCGGTGTGTCTCTACAGCCGCCGGCGTTCACGCCGCCACTCCCTCCCGGCCGCAGTTCCACGCACAGCAGCGAACGCTCGCACTTATGCCTTAGAAAGGAAGGCGTCCCCAAAGCCAGGCTGTAGCATCTGATTTTGAAGCAAGCTGATTGCGGTTCTACGCTGTCCAGACGCGCAGGTGGCATTCTTCATCGTTTATCCCGTCTGCACCAGGCCCTGCGGCCACAGTGGTGACCGACAGCCAGAGCTCCTATCCAAGAGGAGCTGAGTCCCCGGGAGGCTGACCAAGAAAGAAGCAGTGAGGGCGCGGGGGCTGGGGGAGGAAAGTGCATGACAGGAGACTCAGAGTTCCAGAAACCGGCAGTGTTTATAGAGGGTGGCTTCCTGTGGGGCTGGGCCTCCAGGGCCTGGTGGGCTGCGGGAAAATCCAGCAGGTTCTAAGCTGGAGAGTGTCATGGTTGGACCTGTTTCACAATGTCATGCTGGCTTCCGTGTGTGGAGTTTCCAGGTGACCACTAGTGGTGGGGAATAGTGCCACCTTAACTTCAGTTTCCTGACCCTTACAATTAGGGTTGACCTGGGCCCAGCTTGAGGGGCTAATACTTTTCTCAGCTCTTGTTAGCCCAGGCTCTGTCAGTGTCTGTTTAGCATAGTAGAGCACCTTTTCTTTTTGTGACCTTATGGAATGTTTATTCCGATGCAGGATTATTTGTGTTTCTTCTTACCTGCCTCCAAGTGTGCTTAGGGTTTGTGACGTTAGCAATGCAGCTGCCTTGAAGTTTGTTAGTCAAGGAGGCCAGTGGGACTGTACTGGGAACTTTTGGCCCAGATTGAGTTCTAAGCGCAAATGTGCAGTGAATACGTTTCCACAAACAGAATGGGCGTCTGCAGGCAGAGTGTGTGATTCACTGGCAACTGTATCAGTGGCTCGGGGGTGTGTTTGCTTGCATTGTGAAAGCGGGAGTGTCAGGAAAACAACCATGAGGTTTTGTTTGACTGTGATTCCTCCTGCTCTGCACTGCTGAAGGGTGCAGAGATGGGTGTGGACGAGTGGAGTGGACAGTGTGGGAATTAATCCGGAACTGCCATTCGGTGTGTCAGCTGAAAAGCCATTCGGTGTGTCTGCACTTGGAGGCTGCACTTGCTTGCTTCCACTTATGGTAATCACCAAGTCCTGGTGGGTGGACTGTTGTTTCTCTCACTGGGGACCCCTTGGAATAGGAAGAATGGTGCCGTGTCATGTTGGCATTCACTGCCCAGGCGCCTTTGGTGTCTGCGTGCCCCTTGTCCTTGGAGAGAGGGGCTATTTATAGCCTGGAGAACTCCCCTCTTCCCACAGAGTACTTGCTTGGTGTGAGATTTTTACTGCTTGTCATGGTTACAGGAATGTGACCGCAGTACTGATGTTTAAAACGTTTTGTCTCCTTTACAAGGACACTGTGTGAATTTAGAGAATACATTATACCAATCCAAATCCAACACTTTTAAGCATCTTTTTATGTGTTTTGATGGAGGAGAGACATTAAGAACCCATGGTGTATTGAAGATCTTTAGAGCAAGATTCTTGAAGTTAAACCTGGATAGGGCTTTTGGACCCCACTTTATTTGTGTATGGGGTCAGACTCAATCCAAGAGCTTCATCTGGAGGAAAGACGACCCCAAAAAGGAGCTCAGACTGCTGTGTGAGGGCTGGCGCAGTGGTGGCCAGTGCAGGTCCCCGAGGTGGTGGGTCCCACTCAGCTGCTCCTTACAGTGGGGACTCCTGATGTGGAGTTCTGCCCCTGTCACCCTGAGAAACGTGGCTTTCTAACTGTACAGAGTGCTACAGTGTACATAGGGTTCACAGTGTTGATACATACTCCTAGTCTTCAACTCTTTCTTTTGAAATAGTGGAGTTTCCAAGAACATTTTTTTGTCTCCATATCTGCCCTCTTTTCTCACCTGGAATTGACAATGTAGTTGTTCTCCATGCCTCTGTCACAGTGCAGAGTGGGCACCATGCCCGTTTGGCTGCTCGTTCTGCTGATGAGCATGGAGACTGCAGCCTGTGGCCTGCGGTGTGACAGGAGCATGACAAGGAAATACGTACACTTGCTGGTGTGTTCCTTTGTCCTTAGTGTGTTTATTGACTCACCTGAAACTTCAGGAAAGCACTCAAATGGGTCATGGAGGGTTGGTGTATCCTGACAGAAGAAAACGTTATTTGTTGTTGTTGTTTTTTCCTTTAATTTCGGAAACAAATGAGACTGAAAGGTCTTTAAAAATTGATAAATGGAGTCTAAGTTGAAGCCTTGCAGTCATAGGACCCAGAAGTCAGGGCAGTCACATTCAGTGTTAGACTTAAGCAACACAAGGGCAGTTTTTATCTCTGGTTTTCTAGCACATGTTTTTTCTGTATCTTGTGATGAGATAAGAGATAGTGATCACTTAGAGAAATAAACACTGCTTGTCTTTGAAGCAGTAACAAATGATTCATGCCTTTCTTTTTTTTTTTTTTTTTTTTTTTGAGATGGAGTCTTGCCCTGTTGCCCAGGCTGGAGTGCAGTGGCGTGATGTCAGGTCACTGCAACCTCCGCCTCCCAGGTTCAAGTGATTCTCCTGCCTCAGGGATTACAGGCGCATGCTATCACACCCGGCTAATTTTCGTATTTTTAGTAGAAATGGGGTTTCTCCATGTCGGCCAGGCCGGTCTCGAACTCCTGACCTCAGGTGATCTGCCCACCTCGGCCTCCCAAAGTTTTGGGATTACAGGCGTGAGCCACTGCACCCGGCCTTTCTTTTCTTACTATGCAAGATGATATGTTTTCAAAGGATAGAATAGAATGACCTTTTTTCATCTTTGATGTTATTTTCATGAGGACTGTAAACATTGGTGTTTTCCCCCTTATTGAAAGCCCGCTCTGTTCTTGGCCTGCTGGGAGCAGGAGGAATGTTGGGCGGTTTTTCTCTCCCTCTTCCTCTCATGCCTCTCCGCTGACTCAGACTGACCGGTAATCCAGAGGTCTGGGTCTGACTCAGACTGACCGGTAATCCAGAGGTCTGGGGATAGATGGAGTTGACGGTGTGTGTTTTGGAGCTCAGTTCTTTTAGTTCACACAAGACCTAGTTATCAGAAAGAAGCTTTAAAAATGAAAATCCCCTGTCACTTGTAGCCACTGTTGGGCTGAGGAGAGGAAGCACACGCACCCTTCCTCATGGATGACTTTTCAGGAAGGACTCGAGTGGGTGTGTTGGGCATACCCTGTCTCCTTGCCCAGATTGTATTTAGAAAGACCTCAGAGGCGCAGAAAGTTGAAGGAATAGTGCAGTGAAGTCCTGGATGCCCTTCCATTCTCAACATTGGCTCTGTTTGCCTTAGCACTCTCTAGATCTCCTTATTTTTTAAATTTATAATACAATTGTTTGTGTTTTATTTATTTTTAAAAATTGATTCAGCTGGGCACAGTTGCTCACACCTGTAATCCCAGCACTTTTGGAGGCCGAGGTGGGAGGATTGCCGGAGGCCAGGAGTTCAAGACCAGCCTGGGTGACATAGCAAGACTCTATCTCTACTTATATTTTAAAAATGTATTGTAAATTGACAATCATAATTGTGTTGCCTGTTGTTATTTTGACCAAACCATTTGAGAGTAAGTTACTATTGTGACCCTTTATCTCTACATTCTTCAGAGTCTATCTCCTAAGAAGGAGGCTGTTCTTCTTCATAACTGAAATTTATATAATTATCAAAATCTGGACATGTAACATTGAATACCTGATTTAACTTACAATCCATATACAAATTTAAACAGTTACCCCAACAATGTCCTGTTCCCCTACCCCCTGAAATCCAGGATCACAAGTTGAATTTAATTGTTGTGTCTCTTTAATCTCCATTGATCTAGAATAGTTCCTCTTTGTCTTGAGAAAGCCAATTTGTGGAAGGACCCTCAGTGGGTCTTACCGGGTGTTTCCTTTGATTCGATTCAGGTGCGCTTTGGCAGGAGCACGGCACAGTGATTCTGTCCTCTCAGTATCCTCCGTGGGAGGCACATGCTGTCACTTTGTCCCATCATCATGTTGTTCTGGGTTATGGTGGAGATAACTGATCTCTTGGAAGTGCCACCTCCTCTCCATGAGTAATGACTCACCTGTGGGGAGGTGCTTTGAGACTATCTTGTCAGTCCACAGGCAGACTCAGTGGTCTTGGCATCTTCGGGGGCAGACCCAGTGGACTTGGCATCTTCGGGGGCAGACCCAGTGGACTTGGCATCTTTGGGGAATTCTTGCCTGCATTAGTGTTGGCTGTGATGATTGTAAAATGGAGGCTTCTCAACTCATCATTTCTTCAGCATTTGCCACTCGGCCTTCTCTTTATTTCATGTCAGTGTGGCTTCTAGGGGTTAGAGTTCATGACTGTTATCATTTATTTTGATGTTCACTTGGCCCAGATATGGCCAGAAAGACTCCCTCCAGGCTGGCTTCTGGGTCCTCTTGCCATTCGTTCATGTCTGTGCCACTCTCGGGCACTGCACACTGTCTGTGGCTCATGTGTTCACTTCCTGCCCCACTTCTGGAATCAGCCATTTCTCCGAGGAGCCCTGCTTCCGGCTGATGGGGAACAGCACGTAGAAACCACGACCTGGGCACCAAGAATACACCTCTGCTGCTGGGTGTTGTCCTTTCTAGGCCCTTTCAGCAGACAGAGCTAGGAGTTGAATTTTAAAACCAAGAGTTCATCATGGTGCCCGTCACATTGCAGCACCACGGGGGTCTTTGCCCACCATCAGCCCACAGTTGCTCCTTCCTCCCACAGTGCCAAGTAGCTGGGGACTTGGGAACGTCAGCAGTGCTGTTCTTATCAAAGTTTCCTGTAACCCTGTCTCTCAGCAGTGATTTAAGAAATTAAGGCTTTTCACTGGTTGTCAATTTTCTTTGCCTCCCTGGGGCTGAATACAGCCTGTTGTTTCAAGTATCTAAAGTGGCTTAAAAGAAACTTCTCCATAAACCGAATAGCACATCGCTAGAGACTCTGAGAAAAGTACTACTTAGTGATAATTGCTATAGAATATGTGACAAAATGTGCTTTCGTTTCAAATAAAGTGGAGATTTATTCAGAAAAGTGGAGTGTAGAACTACACTGTTAAATAGAAGGATCACAACAATGTACTCGATGTATTATTTGTCCCTTTTGGTAAACGTAATGAGTGAAATTGTAAGTTAAAGCTGAAGCTCTTTTCCCTCCATTTCATCATGAAGCTCTTCACATGGACAGCAAAGCTGCAGGATTTTGTGGTGCGCGCTTGTATACCCGCCACTTCAGCCGTGTCGCCATGCTTTGCTGTGTTGCATTTGTCCAGGTGTCCCCCACAGCCTTCCACGCCTGCGTGAATGTCAGTCACAGACGTGAGCATCAGTCACAGACATGAGCGTGCTCTCCTGCCTTCACCATGCCTGTCAGGGACCAGAGTTCAGCAGTTGTCTTGTTTTTTCTTTTGAGATACATTTTTCTTACGGGAATATGTGGGAAACTTAATTGTGCTGTTCAGTGAGTTACACCCACATAGCCGCGACCGAGACAGACCCTCGATCTGGAAGATTCAGCCTCCCCCACGCATGGCCGTCCCCCAGGCAGCCATTGCCCCCCTCCCTCCATACGTGAGTCTCACCTTTTCTAGAGCGGCATAGCCACGAAATTACACGGTAGGGTCTTTTGTGGAAGGCGTCTTTCGCTCACATGATGTGCTTCAGACTCATCCATGTTTTACATAGAGCAGTTCGTTTCTTTTTATCGCTGAACAGTGTTAGTGATTGCACAGCCGCCTAGCTCACCTCCAAAGGAGAGACACGTAAAACAGCCTTTTGTGTTTGGAATGCCTTTTCCAGAAGATCCCTTGATACGAGAGCCGCATGTTTGCTATTCTTGATGCCCTGCTGGTATCGTGTGAGTGTTCCAGTCTGTCTGTCCACCCTCCTACAGAGTGACATCTGGGCTGTGTTCAGCTTGGGGCTGTCACGGAGCCTTCCTGCGCAGGTCCATCTGTGGATGCAGGCGCCTTCTCTCCTGGATGAAATACTAAGAGTGGAATTGCTGAGTCATAGGTGGTCGCATGTTTGTTTAGGAGCAGCTGCCAGACCTTCTTTGCAAATGGTTGAGCCATTTACACTTCCACCAACACTGTGTGAGAGTTCTGTTGCTGTACATCCTTGCCAACATTTGGTATTGTCATTCTCTTTAATTTTAGCCATTCTGGTAGGTGTGTAGTCATCTGTCATTTGGAGTTTTAATTTGCCTTTGTCTGGTGACTGGTGATGAGCACAGAGCTCTTTTCAGCGTGCACTGTGTTTGTGTGTGTGTGTGTGTGTGTGTGTTATGGGATTGGAGTAGGCAGTCTGTGTGTGTGTGTGTGTGTGTGTTACGGGATTGGGGGAGTACGCAGTCTGTGTGTGTGTATGTGTGTTATGGGATTGGGGGAGTAGGCAGTCTGTGTGTGTGTTACGGGATTGGGGGAGTAGGCAGTCTGCGTGTGTGTTACGGGATTGGGGGAGTAGGCAGTCTGCGTGTGTGTGTGTGTGTGTGTTATGGGATTGGGGGAGTAGGCACTCTGTGTGTGTGTGTGTGTGTGTGTTATGGGATTGGAGTAGGCAGTCTCTGTGTGTGTGTGTGTGTGTGTGTGTTATGGGATTGGAGTAGGCAGTCTGTGTGTGTGTGTGTGTGTTATGGGATTGGGGGAGTAGGCAGTCTGTGTGTGTGTTACGGGATTGGGGGAGTAGGCAGTCTGCGTGTGTGTGTGTGTGTTATGGGATTGGGGGAGTAGGCTGTGTGTGTGTGTGTGTGTGTGTTACAGGATTGGGGGAGTAGGCAGTCAGCTTGGTTGCATGTTGGAAGTTACTCATGCAGTCGCTCTTGCTTCTGACTGGCTTGAGTTCCAGAGCTGTTGGCTGCGTGGAGTTTGACCCCTTCCTTAGTAGCAGCGCTTTGAGTAGTGGGCAGAGTCTCAGGGTGTTCTGTGTGGTTGGAGCAGGCTGGTGTGCCGGGCCTCTCCCTTGGTACAGGTTGGTACAGGGAGCATAGCCCAGTCTGGAGTGAGGCTACCAGGGGACTAAGACCTTGCTTTGTCACATGAGATCTGTAGGTGAGTCCAAAGACACAAGTGTGCTGCGTGGCAGTGTCGCTGGCGTTGCTGTGGCCTCGGATGGAGGCTCTTGGGTTCCCAAAAGAGTGCCTGCTGATGAGCAGAAGGTCCCAGCAGGTTTGTGGTTAGTGATTACACAGCCACAGGGCACACTTCCTCTCACAGAGAGATCTGAAACACAGCCTTCTGTGTTGGCACTCTTCTCTCCCAGAAGAGCCCTTGTGGATAGGAGCCGCATGTTTATACTCTTTGTGCCCTGCCTGCAGCGGGGTTCCTGAACACTCGTTCCACATGTCTTGAAGAAGGCTTGTTATCAGCAGGGGCTCAGGAAGAGGACCTTCATTTGGTAATTCCACATCAGAGGTTCTTGGTGCCACACCCCTCACTGGTGCCCACCCTGCCCTGCTGGACTAATATTTACACTGCCTGATTCTCAGTGACTGACTTGTCTCTTGCCTCTTTCCTGCAGCTTGTTCTCAGAACACAAACAAAACCTGTGAAGAGTGCCTGAAGAACGTCTCCGTAAGTAGCACGTGGACTAGAGACCAGAGTGCCGTCCAGACCGTCCAAAGGCACACGGGCTTTCTCTAGGTCCAGGGATTCGCTGGGATGTGTGGAGGGCTCTGTTGTTTGGGATTTGGGGGGATGTTTTTTGGAATCGTTATCAAATGTTATTTTAGCCATTTCAGGTATATTAAACCTTCTCATGAAAACTGCAGTTACTGTCTGAGCATGGTCAGTATCCATGATTTCACTCCTATGCAGATGGGGCCAGCACTGCGTGGCCAGTCTTCCTAACGAGGCCCATAGCGAGAAATTTGGCTGTCCGCAAAGCTACACCCTCAGGTTGTGAGCCCGTGTTTTCCCAGGCTGTCGGGCTGCAGCAGAGACTGCTTTCTCAGCTGCTCACACAGGATTGGAAGGGGCACAGCAAGGAGAGAGAGGCACCAGCCCTCTGGGCCGGTGGGCCAGGCTGTCCATAGCACTCTCTGGTCGTGACCTGGGGCTCAGGTTTGGATTTTAACTACCTGTGTGACCTTCAACAAGAGGGTAGCGGTCTGGAGCAAAGTTCCCTAAGCCTCCACGGCATGAGGTGGGGCCCGAGACTCCCCGGGGTGCCTTCCCGATGGAGACTGATGCAGATGCCCACCTGGAAGAAGGAGCACCCGTGGTGGGGAAGCAGCATCACAGTGCAGGTCTTGTTAAAGACGTGTGAACAGGGCTGGGTGCAGTGGCTCACGCCTGTAATCCCAGCACTTTGGGAGGCCGAGGCAGGTGGATCACGAGGTCAGCAGTTGGAGACCAGCCTGACCAACATGGTGAAACCCCGTCTCTACTAAAAATACAAAACAATTAGCTAGGCGTGGTGGCGGGTGCCTGTAATCCCAGCTACTTGAGAGGCTGAGGCAGGAGAATTTCTTGAAACCGGAAGTCGGAGGTTGCAGTGAGCCAAGATTGTGCCACTGCACTCTAGCCTGGGCAACAAGAGCAAAAAACTGTCTTTAAAAAACAAAAACAAAAACAAAAACGTGTGAACAGGGTCCTTTGGTTTTCTCTGCGTGGTGGCCTGCGCCTGGGCCAGCCTGGCTGGCACCTCTTGGGCTTGCCTTGCCACGCAGCTCTTGGTTCGGCAGCACCCAAGTCTCCTCGCAGCGCTATGAAATCAGCACGGGAAACCTGAGGGAAGGCCCACGGCAGCGGGAAGTGGTTAGGCAGAAAACAGCATCCTGTGGGGCCTTTTTCTTAGGATTCCTGATCTCGCCCACCCCTTGCCCCTTCCAGTCAGGAGTTTACCAGGTTTTGAGAACTGCAGGGCCAGAGGCTTCCTTTCCCCGGCAATGAGGTTTCATGATATGAGGAGGCCGGGAAAGATGTATTCGATGATTTCTATTCTAAGGCATGAGCCATGTTCTTAAAAACTCTTCTTCCTCCACGAGACCGTAGCGTAGGTTTGAGGAGGCCGGGAAAGATGTATTCGATGATTTCTATTCTAAGGCATGAGCCATGTTCTTAAAAACTCTTCTTCCTCCACGAGACCGTAGCGTAGGTTCGAGACACACCCTGTCAGTTTGTGGGACTTAAGTGGATACTTGCATTTGCTGATTAAAAATTGAAAGACGCTGTTTCTGTGGTTTCAGATCTTGACATTGGTGATGTTGAACCTGCTCTAATGCGCCTGGTCCTGGTGCATTTTCTAGATGGTGCTTCTTTTTAGTCTCTGGATTTTTCTATTGGAAGTCATTTCAGCTTTAAACATAGCTCACTATTGTATGTGGCTTTGTAGCCTAGAGTGCGTTTTTGCCATAGTACCCTGTGTAACCCTCACCACCCTGGGCAGGGTGTGGTGATGACAGCCATCTCGTGGATGAGGCGGCTGAGGGACTTGCCCAGGTCATTGTGGATGGGGCCAGTCCAGAAGGGCTGAAGGCCTGACTCCAGTTCTGAACCCAGACAGGGCGGTGAAGAGGGCCGCTTGCCCTACAGTAGCTCCAGGCGTGTGTGGGTGTGCTCTTGGGCACACAGGAGGTTTCTGGAAGGAGGTGTCAGTGCCTGGGAGGTCTCAAGAGGACCTGCGTGTTGGAGCAGTGGCTATGGTGGGCTGTGTCCACGCTCCTGAGGCCGTGGCGGGCTGTGTGTCTCTGTGTTGCCGAGGCCGTGGCGGGCTGTGTCTCTGCTGCTGAGGCCGTGGTGGGCTGTGTCTCTGCTGCTGAGGCCGTGGTGGGCTGTGTCTCTGCTGCTGAGGCCGTGGTGGGCTGTGTCTCTGCTGCTGAGGCCGTGGTGGGCTGTGTCTCTGTGCTGCTGAGGCCGTGGCGGGCTGTGTGTCTCTGTGTTGCCGAGGCCGTGGCGGGCTGTGTGTCTGTGCTGCTGCCTGAGCTGCTTGCTATGTGCATATTACTTCATCGATCAGAAAAGCAGCACAACCACCAGAGAACACCGTATCCTCCCAGTGCAGTCCTGTGGCTCATGGTACCACTGTCATGGAAAAATGGAAAATCAGACATTTACAACTTGAGCCACTTGAAAAGGGAGGATTAGCCAAAAATCGTTAATTGCAAGCAAAACCCCTGAAATGGAAGATACTCCCAAATGACCAGAATAAACAGGGTTTAACTGTTAATTGTTACATTATGCTGGAAACCACTTAAACACGACACTAAGGTGGTCACTGTATAAGTAGCCCTGGGAAAGAAGGCCCAGGGGACATTGTAATTAATATTTTTTTGTAATAGACTTTTGCCCTAACCTGGGCCAAAAACGCCATGACTTTCTATCCTATTAAAAAGTCAGTAACACTGTTAATGTGGAGATTGGGAGTAACAGGCAGTCTGGACTTGGGTCTGGACTTGGGCTGGCGCATGAGGTGCTGCCGAACGGCAGTTCTTTTTTTTTTCCTTTTGAGACGGAGTTTCACTCTTGTTGCCCAGGCTGGAGTGCAATGGTGCGATCTCGGCTCACCGCAACCTGCGCCTCCTGGGCTCAAGCGATTCTCCTGCCTCAGCCTCTGGAGTAGCTGGGATTACAGGCATGTGCCACCACGCCCGGCTTATTTTGTATTTTTAACAAAGATGGGGTTTCTCCATGTTGGTCAGGCTGATCCCGAACTTCTGACCTCAGGTGATCCGCCCTCCTGGCCTCCCAAAGTGCTGGGATTACAGGCGTGAGCCACCGTGCCTGACCCGAACAGCAGTTCTTTCACCCCTTCCTGTGCCATCTGCCTGCGTGCTAGGCTGTCCCCTGTCACGCTCAGTGCCTGGCTCACAGACCGCTTTCGGGCCTCGTTGTGTACTGCTGTGGCATGGGCTGGGCCCAGCTCTGGGCTCTTACACACACACACACGGGTGTGATGGTGTTGTCTCCACACCACTGCGGCCTCACACCTGACGTTCAAGGGGCTCAGACAAGAGCGTCTATGAGGTTCTCTCCAGCTGTCAGTTTAGGGCGGGCTGAGCCGTAGTTGCATCATCTTTCAAGCTGTGCGACTTAGTGCAGTTGTGAAGGTCAGAGGTAGGAAGCATGGTCCTTGCTACAGATGGTGACCATGCTCACCCAAGTCCATTCAACACAAACTCAGTGAGTGCCTGTGATGGGCCAGGCTGTGTCCTGTGTTCTTGGGAGACTTCAGCCAGTGAAGTGCACAGGTGCCCGGCGTGTGGGGAGGAGAGGTCTACGGAAGCAAACCTCACAGGAGGTGAGGAGGAGGGGGTGGAGGCGGCTGGTTGTGTCCAGTCTGTTGATCGAGGCAGGGCCCATCCAGTCAGTGGGGAGCCACACAGATGTGGGGAGAGTGCTCCAGGCAGAACCGGCAGGCTGAGCTGAGGCTGAGAGCATGAGGTGGGGTTGGCAGCACTCAGGAGGCTGCCAACACAGAGGCCCCGTGGCCTCAGCAGGGTGAGTTGTGGAAGAGGCCTGAGTGACGCGGGCCTTGGATGAGTCCGTGGAGAGCTGACAGGGCTGCTGGCCGCTGTGCTGGGTGTGGACCGAAGGGCGCTGAGGGTGAAGGCAGAGATGAGGCGTTGAGGGGGAGGTTGAGCCTTTACAGCCATCCACAGAGCGATGGCAGCACTGGCGGGCTGTGGGCAGAGCCTGGACAGTTCTTTGGTTTTTCTGTTGTTTCTAATGCTTGCTTAATGTTGGTCTCTTTCAGTGTCTTTGGTGCAACACTAACAAGGCTTGTCTGGACTACCCAGTTACAAGCGTCTTGCCACCGGCTTCCCTTTGTAAATTGAGCTCTGCACGCTGGGGAGTTTGTTGGGGTAAGTCATTGTTTTCATTTGCTGCTTGCAAAATCGATGCTTCTTTGAAAATAGTAGTATGGGCCGGGCGCGGTGGCTCACGTCTGTAATCCCAGCACTTTGGGAGGCGGAGGCGGGTGGATCAAGAGGTCAGGAGATTGAGACCATCCTGGCTAACATGGTGAAGCCCCGTCTCTATTAAAAATACAAAAATTAGGTGGGCGTGGTGGCATGCACTTGTAATCCCAGCTACTTGGGAGGCTGAGACAGGAGAATTGCTTGAACCCGGGAGGCGGAGTTTGCAGTGAGCCGAGATCGTGCCACTGCACTCCAGCCTGGCGACAGAGCGAGACTGTCTCAAAAAAAAAAGAAAATAGTATTATGTGCTCAGTTAGCAGAAGTTGCTAGAAAATGTGCTGCCAGTAGCTCTGTGACTCCCAGGGAGAGGTTGGGAAGCCAGGGGTGATCTGCTGACCGGGAAAGCAGCCCTGGGGAACCTGGAGGACCTCCTTCAAGGTGGTCAGCCCCAGCACTGAGCTCTATCTCACCACGTTACAGAAGGTGTGGGGAAAAGGGTGAGTTTGAAGGCAACGTGTTTGACTTCTCTGCTCAGTATGTTTTGTTCATGTGTCACCCCTGAAACTCACCTGTGAATTCCCCTAGAATCTCCAGTTTTCCCAGCTTAAGAATCCCTGCTTGCGTAGACAGCCCTCTTTTTTTGTGTGCGTATCTTTGTATATTTGATTTTGGAGGCGTTTTTAAATTAAGGAAATCAGCTCTTGTGAGATTCAAGTTGTTTTCTAGTTTGCCTTTATTTATTTATTTATTTATTTTTGAGACGGGCTGGAGTGCAATGGCACTATCTTGGCTCACTGCAAGCTCCGCCTCCCAGGTTCACGCCATTCTCCTGCCTCAGCCTCCTGAGTAGCTGGGACTACAGGTGCCCGCCACCACGTCCGGCTAATTTCTTGTATTTTTTAGTAGAGACGGGGTTTCACTGTGTTAGCCAGGATGGTCTCGATCTCCTGACCTCATGATCTGCCCACCTCAGCCTCCCAAAGTGCTGGGATTACAGGCGTGAGCCACTGCGCCCAGCCCCGTAGTTTGCCTTTTAAATCAGTTTGTGGTGTGTTTTGTAACCTAGAACTCATTATTATGTAGTTGAATTTATTAATCTTTTAGGCTTCAGGTTTTGGGGTAATACATAGGGTTCCTAAACTTTGTAAAGAAGCAATATTTTCTTAAGGTGTTTTGATGATTCTTTTTGTTTATTTGCATCTTGGATCCCTCTGCAACTTACGTCTTACTTACCACTCTTCTAATTGATTTCCATTTCAAAATCTATCAGCCTCCATCTGAAACAACTTGTTGCTGGTGTTGAGGCCCTAGAGAATTCAAAAGTTTGTGTGGTGGTGGTGGTTGTAGTGTGGGATGTCTGGCAGGGGGTGGTGGTGGTGTGTGTGCACCTTCATGTGTGATGTGTGTACTGTGTGTGATGCATGTGTGTTTGTGAACTCATCCCTTCCATGGAACTTCTCTTAATGACCACTCTGAAGACACAGCTCCTGGACCTGGGGAGCCTTGCCCTTTGGAACACCTGTTCTGGAGGTGTTTTTAATGGCATGTAGCTTCTCATGAAGTGCACACATCTGAAGTCTCTCTCTGCATGGACTTTATAGCCTACATAATGCACACATGTGTGCCTGCATGGACCGCAGTTTATAGCCTACATAATGCACACGTGTGTGCCTACATGGACCGCGGCTTATAGCCTACATAATGCACACGTGTGTGCGTACATATATTCAGTGCATTTTTGCATACGTATACAGGTTATCACCACTCACAGCAAAGTAGGTAGGACTTCCAGGACTTTCAGAAGGCCCAATTCCTGTCAGGACCCCCATGGGAGCCACTGACTGGACTTCCCGTCACCACAGATTAATGTTACTGGTTCCCGCCTTTATGTGGAGGAAATCCTGTGCTTTATTGGATGTTTTATTCAGCATGTGCCCGAGATTCGTGTCAATTGCCTGCACCAGTTATCTTTCTCGTGCAGTGTTCTACAGCTGTTCAGCCATGCTGCCACTCAGGGACGCCTGGGTCCTTCTGGTGCTGCTGTGAGCGGTGTTGTGTTGGTGCCGGCACAGGCGCTCACGTCTGGAGGAGTGTAGGGGTGGAGTTGCTGTGTCACGGAGCATATTTGTGTTTAGCCTTAGTACGTCTGCCAAATGTTTTTGGAGTGGCTGTACCAGTTTGGCCTCCCTCAGGCAATGTGGGACTTGGTTGCTCCACATCCTTCCCAATGTTTAGGGTAACCAGTCACCCTAAGTTCAGTCCATCTAGTGGGTGTGTAGTGGTGTCTTGTGCTTCTCACCTGCATTTCTGCAGTGACTAGCCGATCGTGCTGAGCACCTTTACAAGTGGTGGGTGTTTTTGACAATTCTCTTGTGAAATGACATCCCCACGCTAGGCTGCAGAAGTGGATGGACACACAACACCCAGCCCTGCACATGAGAGCGGCAGCAGGTGACTAGTCACAGTCACAGTGGGGAGGGGGCACCACACGCCACGCAGGGTCCCGCAGGGGAACAGGGCTCGGGGAGGCAGCCATTTCGTGACAGGAGGGTGGGGTGCGATGGGCTTGTTTGGTTAATTCTGAGGCTGAGAGGGAACTGACACCTGCTCCTCCGGGAGAAACAGAAAGTGTGCCTGGCCCTGCCGGGAGGAGGAAGAGGCTGTCTGAGCTGGGACCTTGTCCAGCCTTGCCCACGGGAGCAGAGTGGGGAGGAGCAGTTGTGGCCGGGCCCTCAGGGCCCTCCTGATTTCACCAGATGCCGCGGCGCACATGATACCCGTTTTAGGTCTTGCACCACAGGTCCTTGTTTATTCTTACAGGTAACCTTAGAACCATTTTATCCAGTTCTAGCCAAAATTATTTTGGAGCTTTAATTGTAATGGCCTGATAAACATGCTTACTTGAAGGAAAATGAAATGTCTACAGCGTTGGCCGTTTGTCCAGAGGCAAAGATGCCTCTCTTTCAGGCCTCTCCCACATCCTTTGGTTCAAGTTCAAGTTCATGGGTTTTACCCTATGGAATCAGCAAAAGGAGCCCAGAGTTTGTTTCCCATTGTGACAGGATTTCTGTTTGTTTTTAACTAGTTTTAGCTGCTAATCAGAAAAGCTATCTGAGGGGTAGATATGTTTTAAGGCCAGCCATCTTGTTGATCTCATTGGAGTTCTCCAGTCAGAAAATGACATCTTCTGCCAATGAAGGTCCCCTCTGTAGTTCTCCCTCTTACTATAATTTTTGCAATTCTACGCTTCCAGAACAGGTCAGAGGAGGAAAAAACACAGGATTAAAAGCTCAAAAGGCATTTGATCAGATGTAACCTCCTATTCCTGATTTTCAAACTATTTTAATAAACTAAGAAATGCGGATCTCAGCGTCCGGGGCAGCAGAGGGGTGAGGCTGCGGGAGCCCCAGAGGCCTGGCCGTCGGCCTCCTTGCCAGGGCCCAGGCATGCAGCAAGTGTTCAACTCCCAGCCCCTGGAGGTGAGACGGTGTCACCTGTGGTGGTGGCACAGCTATTAACTGTAGTTAAAAACAGTGAATCATGCGGTAATCTACTGCCCAGGGGAGTTTGCTTATAAAGCCATCTTCAGGAGGCTGGCTGGGTGTTTTTTGTTTGTTTCAAGATGGTGTCTTGCCGTGTTGCCCGGGCTGGAGTGCAATAGTGTAGGCACGGCTCACTGCAGCCTCAACCTCCCAAGCTCAAGCGATCCTCCCACCTCAGCCTCCCATGTCGCTGGGACCAGAGGTGCATGCACCACACCCAGTTAATTTGTTAAACAGTTTTGTAGAGATGGGCAGGGCTGGGTCTCACTTTGTTGGCTGGGCGGGTGTTGAACTCCTGGGCTCAAGCAATCCTCCCGATTTGGCCTCCCAAAGTGCTGGGATTATAGGTGTGAGCCACTGTGTCCAGCCAAGGAGGCTGTTTGAACTACATGATTGAAAACACATTTGCAAAAGTAGTTTTAGGGTATTTTTTAATTGCCTCTGGTTTGAACTGAATGGAAAAATCTTGGCTGATTTCAATGTATAGATCTTCAAAAGAAGTTTAAAAGGATAGTAAGATCTGTTTTAAATGTGCACGTGTGTCTGAAGGCTGGTTAAGGAAATCATAACAGGGTTTGGGACCGATTAGCCAGCCGTTCTTCAGCCCCAAGGTCCTCAAAACACTCAGATTTGAAGATGATCCCGTCTTGTTCCGTGGTCTCGTCCGCTCCTCCACGGTCATTCTTTTCGAACCTGGCCGCCAGTATGTGCCCTGAGAGTCTATTTCTCTTGTAAATCATTGTAATATTCTTGACTTTGGTTTAAATAAAAAAAAAGAAAGCTGCATCAGGCTTAACCTCCATTTCTGTGAGTTTAGAATGTCTTACGAGAGTCTGAGTATGTAGCTTGGAATTTTGGTTAGTTAACTTTTCTCAGGCTTGAAATACCTTTTCAAACTCAGCTGAGACAGACTACCCTGTCACTTCAGTTCATTATGGTTAATATTATAAATTGTTAATAAATTCTAAGTCACAGATAGGAACGTGTGGCTGAAAGGAGACTTGGAGAGGGCGGGACCCTGTGGGGTGGAGGCAGGGCCACAGGCTCTCCACACGCCAGGAGCCAGCAGCCTGGCCGAGGCGGCTTTCCTCCTTATGCTCCTGTGTCCTGAGGTTGTTCCCCAGGGGCGAGGGAAGGCTGCTGTGCTGGGTGGGTTCTGTGTCTGGGGCGGCCCTAACTCCAGGTGCTTGAATCTCCAGTGAACTTTGAGGCGCTGATCATCACCATGTCGGTAGTCGGGGGAACCCTCCTCCTGGGCATTGCCATCTGCTGCTGCTGCTGCTGCAGGAGGAAGAGGAGCCGGAAGCCGGACAGGAGTGAGGAGAAGGCCATGCGTGAGCGGGAGGAGAGGCGGATACGGCAGGAGGAACGGTGAGGTGGTGGTGATGCCCGCTGGGAAGGTTACTTCGAGGGGATTCAGATCTGCAAGGCCATGGAAATCACATGGATACATCCTGAGTTTTCCTCAGTTTTTAGAAATTAAGAATGTGTATAGTGCCCAGGGGATCTTCTAGGTCGTGGTAGAGAGCGAGAGACTGTGATGGGAACCTAGCAGTGGCTGCGAACCTTGCTTCTATAGGCTTCCTCGCCCGGTGTCCTCCCATCGGTGCAGTAAGGCTGAGTCTGTGCGCGGTGACACGGGTGTGTGACGGCTGCTAAGGCGGCTCGTCCAGGCCCAGCATTTGCCAAGAGCAAGCTGAGGCTCAGAGGGGACAGCGTCTGACTGTGGCTGGGTCAGCTCTCCTGTCGCCCTTTCCCTGGTGACACAGCACTCTCCTGAGTGCTTGCTGGGGCTCTGGGGCAACCCCAGGAGGAGGTGGTGTAATCCACACCTGGCAAAGGAGAGGACCTGAGGGGCCAACTGTCAGGTTGGCGGCGGGCGAGGGTGGAAGCGGGACAGATTTTCCATGTAGTCACCTTGAAGTCACATGCTACTAAGTAAAAGCTGACAATCGCATTTTCCTCACCATCTTCAGAACCTGGTGTATGATTTTTACTGTGTTTTCTTTGTATGAAAAAAGCTTTTTAAAAATCACGGTATTGGGCATTTGAATTGCTTTTATTGAAAAGAGTAGAGTAATACATTGGAACGGCCTTTGAAGACTGGGTTCGTTGTCACCTTGCCTGTCCTGGTGGGTATGTGGCCTGATGACCAAGCTTGTCCTCACCCTGGTTTCACTCTGGGAACTGGAGGGAAGCCACCAGAAGAAACCTGGCGCCCCCACTGAGGGACACGGAAGGGCGTGTCTAGCAGTTACACCACCGTGCGCTGTCGTTTGGTGCTCATAATGTTCCTCTGTGTTTTAGGAGAGCAGAGATGAAGACAAGACATGATGAAATCAGAAAAAAATATGGTAAGGACTGGTCACGCCTCCTTTTTGTCTGGTTGGGAGGCGATGGCACGCTGTCTCGGTCCTCGTTAGTGCCAGTGTGGCCTGAGATGGGGCTGTGGGTTCACCCATCGGAACAGAAGGACGTCTCTCCAGAGAGGAGCAGCTGGCGGTTGTCCCCAGCGGTTCTGTGGTGAACTCACTCCTAAGAATATCTTTATCTCAGCCAGTCGTCTTCATGAAGTCTGTTTTCTCAGATAGCTGTTTGCTTATCGAGTCCCAAGACTTCTGGGCTGGAAGTCTGCAGCTGTTCTGCCGTCGTGTTTGGCTTCCTGTGGGCACGCCTGCGTAGCCGAGGTGCTGTGAGTTTCAGGGCGGCCCTCTCATCCTCGGGAGCGTTGCTCGTTGCCATCTTCTGAGTGTGGCAGGCGCTCCTTCCAAGCACTCCCCAGCACCGGCCCTGCTCCTTCTCGCCCAGCCTCGGCGTTCTGTTCTTGTTTGGTTGTGTCTGGAGAGATTTTGGAGAGGAGCTTTGAAGGAGCCAGAATGAATGTATTTGCCAAGTGTAAACCTTTTATTTAGTTGGAGTGAATTGGAAATACACATTACGTTATCTATACTCCCCCAAACCACGTGATGTTCACTGCTTAACACTGAACACCACCACCCAGCCGTGCTTCGTTGATTCTGTATGATTTTAAAGTCCGCAAAGAGTCTAGTGTCTCCCGCGCTGGGTTTGTGGTTGTGTGGTGTCATGGGCGTCTCCCGCGCTGGGTTTGTGGTTGTGTGGCGTCATGGACATGGTGGGAACTGACTCCTCGCCTGTGCGAGGTGCGTGGTCCTGGGTTCATGGCAGCCGTGGGCCTCAGGAATCTGTCGTCCTGCGCCCACGGTGCTTTCCTTGAAGCAGTATATTAAAGGCTAAACCTAATTGGAAAATTTCAGAGCCTTTTCTGACTAATGCACGTGTTTTGAGTCTTCTGTTTGTTTTAGGGAATATCATATATTTGTGGTATTTTAGGGTCCCACCCACTGGGGGCATGAGGACGTCGCTGCGGTTCTCGGTCATCGGGTGGGGGGTGGACGGCAAAGCCCAGCAGCCACTGTGAGCGGCGCCTCCGTCAGGTGCAGGTGATTGGCGTTGGGTTCCCTCTCATGGGGGCTGCAGAGGCCCCATGCTGCTGGTGCCCTGGACTGTAAACGCTGGGTGGCTCTGCCCACTGGCCGGGACGTCCCCTCCCTGTCAGTTCTGGCCTCCTTGGAAAGTCACCTCCATGTGACTGTGCTGTGACCTGAGGCCACGTGAGTCCTGCCGGTCTCGAAGTGTCGGCTTGGGGGCGTGAGGCTGCCTTGGCTGCTGGCCTCGAGATGCCCAGTGGCTGATAGAGGCTTTTTCCTATGTGTTCCCGCCCATCAGTCTCCTGAGTGCCGTGTGCTTGGGCGCTGACTCTCTGGGTTCTCTTCACTGCTGCCTTGTCCTTGCCCCACCCTCTCTGTCGCCTGTTGTTTCCCGGTGTGTGTCTGGAGTGGGTGGTGACCGGGTACCTGCGTGTGACTGTCATAAGGAGCAGCACCAGGGTTGCCCTCCTCAGCGAGTGCATGCCTGTGTACGTGGAGCGTGGGCCCAGCAGCATCTCTGCAGGCCTTGGCTGGAGGCATTGTGCTTTCCTTGAAATGGAAGAGTCAAGAGCTTTTTGGCACCTAATTTTTTTTTTTTTTTTTTTTTGAGACGGAGTCTCACCTTGTCGCCCAGGCTGGAGTGCAGTGGCGCGATGTCAGCTCACTGCAAGCTCTGCCTCCCAGGTTCACACCATTCTTCTGCCTCAGCCTCCTGAGTAGCTGGGACTACAGGTGCCCACCACTACGCCCAGCTAATTTTTTGTATTTTTTAGTAGAGATGGGGTTTCACTGTGTTAGCCAGGATGGTCTCAATCTCCTGACCTCGTGATCCGCCCGCCTCGGCCTCCCAGAGTGCTGGGATTATAGGCATGAGCCACCACA